>NC_000003.12:133099513-133251028 GCF_000001405.40 Homo sapiens
TGCATCATCAGGCTGTAAATTTTCTGAACTTTTATGCTCCGTTTCCCTTTTAAAACAGAATGCTCTTAATAGCACCCAAGTCACCTTTTGAGTGCTTTGCTGCTTAGAAGTTTCTTCCCCCAGATACCCTAAATCATCTCTCTCAAGTTCAAAGTTCCACAAATCTCTAGGGCAGGGGAAGTATGCCACCAGTCTCTTTGCTAAAACATAATAAGAGTCACCTTTGCTCCAGTTCCCAACAAGTTCCTTGTCCTCATCTGAGACCACCTCAGCCTGGACCTTATTGTTCATATCACTATCAGCATTTTTGTCAAAGCCATTCAACAAGTCTCTAGGAGGCTCCAAACTTTCTCACATTTTTCTGTCTTCTTCTGAGCCCTCCAAAGTGTTCCAGCCTCTGCCTGTTACCCAGTTCCAAAGTCGCTTCCACATTTTTGGGTATCTTTTCAGCAACACCTACTCCTGGTACTAATTTATGGTATTAGTTCATTTTAACGCTGCTGATAAAGACATACCCAAAACTGGGAACAAAGAGACGTTTAATTGGATTTACAGTTTCACATGGCTGAGAAGGCCTCAGAATCATGGCGGGAGGTGAAAGGCACTTCTCACATGGCAGCGGCGAGAGAAAAATGAGGAAGCAAAAGGGGAAACCTCTGATAAACCCATCAGATCTTGTGAGACTTATTCACTATCATGAGAATAGCAGGGGAAAGATTGGCCCCCATGATTCATGGGTTCCACCCACAACACATGGGAATTCTGGAGATACAACTATAGTTGAGATTTGGGTGGGGACACAGTCAAACCATATCACGGGTCATGCCTATAATCCCAGCATTTTGGGAGGCTGAGGTGGGCAGATTGCTTGAGCCCATGAATTTGAGACCAGCTCTGGCAATATGGTGAAACGCTGTCTCTACAAAAAATATTTCTAAAAATTAGCTGGGCATAGCAGTGCACTCCTGTAGTTAACAGCTACTTGGGAGGCTGAGGTGGGAGTATCACTTGAGCCCAGAAGGTTGAGACTGAAGTGAGCCATCATCATGCCACTGAACACCAGCCTGGGTGACAGAGCAAGACCCTGTCTCATAAATAAAATAAAGATTCAAAAGATGGTGAAGAGTTAAGGATTTGTTCAATACCTCCAAAAGAGTATTCTTTACAACTTGAAATAAGCATGAGGACTTTGATTCCACCATCCATCCATTCCATGAAGTCTGAAACCTGGAAGCAATTTTTTTTGTAAAAATCTTTTCTGATTATAGAAGTAATGTTAATTGTAGAAAATATTGTTAAGCACAGTAAAGAAAATAACCTGTAACCCTACATTGTAGAGATAATTTTTACAATAATCATAACTGTAATCATTGTGAATCAAGCTTTATTTTGTGTATGTATCTAGATATTTATTTCTAGTTGTGTGTATAATAACTGATTTTTAGAATTGAAATTGTATTTTTATACCTACATTAAGAACATTTCCTCATTGTCACATACACATGTGAAATATCCATCATTTAGATGAACCATAATTTTCTGTGTCCTATTTTTGATTATTTAAGGTTATCTCCTAGTTTTTGCTTCTGTACATAATGGAGCAATGAAAAGAGCCTTGTATGTAAAAATGTATGTGAAAATTTCTAGTTATTTTATTATGGACAGTGCCTAAAACTGGATTTTTTTGGGTGAAAGCTCCTGATAGTTTTAAGGATTTTTGAAACATATTTCATTGTCTTACCAGCTTGCCCAGTGCTGTGTGTATCAGGCGTTTTACTCTACAAATGATGTTCCCTTCATCACCCCTGCCTTGGTTAAAGCCTTAACATTTCTTCACTGGTTTACATCAACAGCCTCTAGCCTTGACTCTCTCCAAGCACTTTCCATATTTCCAACGTGATCCTTCTTACATAGGAATTCATCACATCAGTGGCTCCTCTGTAGCCTTTACATCAAACCACATATCCTAGCATGTATGTAGAACTTTTGGGGATTTGAGCAGTCCTGACCTCCCCAACCTTCATCTGGAAATAATTGCCTGCCTACAGTCTGGGCTTCATTCCTGTTAAAATATAGTAGAAGCCGTCTAATCTGAGGCATGATTTTTAAATTTAAAAATATTGGCTAAAATAATGAGAGATTAGTATCTTAAAATGTTTATTTTACATACATCTCTTAAAATGTTTATTTTAACTTAAAACATATAGTTGGACATTGTTCACCAATCCTTTGATGTAGGAACAAGACCTTTCCTTTGAATGTGGTTCCACCATTGAAATCTACTCATTGGAATCCCATGTCATTTTTCTTGTGTAACCACACCCATAATATGTCACTTACAAGTTCCAGTTTGGGATTCTTTTAAACAGAGTGAATACAAGGGCAGAATTCTTCCAGGTTGTTATGATTTATTTTCCAGTCTTGTATGGCTGCCTCACTCCTAATTTGACAGTAATTTTTTGGGACCTAGTATTTTTGAGGCTATTCTATCTAGCTTTATAGAAGTACTAAGTCTTTTGATTCATATTCATATTCCATTGGTTTCTATAATATGATTAAGTTACGTGATTGTAATGCCAAGCACAACTCGCACAAACATATTGAGAACCAGTATAAATAACCTTTGGCACACATGCCCCTCAACTGGGAAAGCATAAATCCTCCCAGCATACTGTAGAGATGCCTTCAGGCTGAGAGCACTTGACTTGGTATGGGTACTGGTGAGCGCATCTTTCAGAAGGAGTGGAGAATATTTGTTAATTTAGGAGCTGGTTCAGTGGAGGCCAGTGAAAGAAGTTTCTGTTGTGTTTACAGTACCCTAAATATGTCGTGGTCTCTCCCTTCTTTATCTTCAGCCTGCTGCTTACTCTGAGATCCTTGCAAACTGGACTGCAGCATCCTAAGTTACTGCAGGAAGTTTTCTCTTTCATAGCCCCTCCCCTTCCAGCTAGCTGCTGCTCCTGTGTGCTCATGTACCGCCACATGCTTTTCTCTGTGTAAGTGCCTATTGTAATTTATTTGCTTAAAGTCTCCCTAGAATAGACTGTGAGTCCAGTGAGACGAGGGGCCTTGTCCTTTACCTCTGACTCCCTAGCTTCTGACACAGTCTTGGCTCTTGGAAAATATTGGATAAATGAAAATGAATTTCTTTAGCAAGTGGTATAAGCTGAAAATATACGTATCACATATCCTCATTCTAAGACACATTCAGTGTCCCTGAAATTAGAATAGGACTTACAATAAGTGTGTTCACTTTCTCAATAGCTGTTATTCAATTGATGGTAGGCCTTAAAAGTCAAAGAAATGAGAGGGCATGTGAAAAAAAGCTCAACATCACTGATCATTAGAAAACTTCCATTCAAACCCCCAATGAGATACCATCTCATACCAGTCAGAATGGCTATTATTAAAAAGTCAAAAAATAACAGATGCTGGCAAGGTTGTGGAGAAAAAGGAACACTTAAACACTGTTGGTGAGTGTAAATTAGTTCAGCGATTGTGGAAGACAGTGTGGCAATTCCTCATACCTAAAGACAGAAATACTGTTCGACTCAGCAATTCCATTATTAGGTATATACCCAAAGGAATATAAATTATTCTCTTATAAAGACGCATGCACACCTATGTTCATTGAAGCACTATTCACAATAGCAAACACATGGAATCAGCTGAAATGCCCATCAGTGGCGGACTGGATAAAGAAATTGTGTACATATACACCATGGAATACTATGCAGCCATAAAAAAGAATGAGACCATGTCTTTTGCAGGGACATGGAATGAGCTGGATGCCATTATCCTTAGCAAACTAATGCAAGAACAGAAAACCAAATACCGCATGTTCTCACTTACAAGTGAGAGCTAAATGAGGAGAACACATGGACACATAGAGGGAAACAGCACACACTGGGACCTTTCAGAGGGTGGAGGGTGGGAGGAGGGAGAGGATCAGGAAAGTAACTAATGAGTACTAGGCTTAATACCTGGGTGAGGAAATAATCTGTACAACAACCCCCCATGATACAAGTTTACCTATATAACCTGCACTTGTACCCCTTTAGTTAAAATAGAAGTTAAAAAAAAATGTTAGATCACCTCAGGGACAACTATAGTGAGCATAGTTGTTGGTGTGGCAGTGTTCTTCCATAAACACCCCTCCATGTTTCTGTCAGAATCCGCTTTCTGGGCCTTCAGTAACCAGTGCAACATTCCTTGATTTCTAATTCCTAAGGGTGGCTCAGAGTAGGGAGGTTGTGTAGCCCCATGGTTATGAGCATGAAGACTGGAGGTCAGATGTAGGCCATGCCTCTTAGGCAAGTCAGGTCCTCACTTTTCTCATCTATAAAATGGAGAAAGTCATGACTTTGGGATGATGCATGAAACCACTTAGAACTGCTTGGCATGCAGTATGCCTTCAGTATATTCTAGCAGTTGCTGTTGCTATTGTGAAACCAAAGAGTTCATAAAAGTGATCCTATAAATAATATAATCAAAGAAGTATTCATAAGATGCTTCTATAAATAATATCATTTCTGTCACACACTCCTTGCAAAGAATTCAAGGAGAAAGTACTACTGGGTAGATGTTTGATTCTGGAATCTACCATTTAACAACTGTAACATGTCTGGGATATTTTCTTAACTTCTCTTAGCCTTGATTTCTCTACCTATAAAATGGGATGATAATAATAATGCAAAACTTAGGGGGTTATTAAGCATAGCAAATTATAGGATACATGTAAAATACAGCTCCTGGCAGATAATAACTGCTCAATAAATGTTAGCTATCTCTGGCAGTTATAATTCACAGTCACAGACTTGGATATGCAAAATAGAGCTTTATTTGTCTGTAGCTGAATGTTTCTCACCTCTTGAATTTCCATTTCCACTGATGGCAGAAATCATAAATCTTGCCAATTTATGATAAATTCAGTGACTTTCAGGCTTTTTTTCTTAATCTCTAGTTTGAGTAAATTCTCAGTTGATTTTGGATTCTTTCCTTTTGCTTTCTCCCAAAGGGTGAGGTCCTGGGGAGCAGGTGTTTTTCTGATATCCATATGCTTCTGTTCAGATGTAGGGCTCCTATTGGTCTTTGGCCCTGCTGTGTGCACAGCTGGAAGTTTTCATTTCTCTTCTGCCTCCTGGGATCCATCAGGGTCCTACAGATCCCTTTGGTTCCCTGAAGCCTGGTTCACCTGCCTAATCACTGACATTTTGGGGAAAACTCTCAGTGTTCTCTAGCACCTCACAGGAGAGCCAAGAACCTGTAAGACGGCCTCCATTCATTTCCTTGCCCACACTGTGCAGCCATAGCTCCTCCATCCCTCAGGCCCCTGCTGGGTGCTGAGCTTTTCTCAGAGCTGCTACTTTCCTGGATTTCCCAGGCACAGGCATCTGCCTGAACTTACCTGGTGTTTGTTACCTAAGGATTCATCCCCTATCCACCTGGGCTTGACTTAGTGTGGATTGGGAAAGAAGAGTACTGCTTCCTTCTTAGAAGCCCACAAGAGGCATCTGTTAGTCTTTGTGTTAGTTTTCTATTGCTTCCATAACAAATTACCACACATTTTGCAGCACAAAATACTACAAGTTTATTATCTCACAGTTCTCTAGGTCAGAAGTCCAGCTTGACTCTGCTGACATCTCTGTGTCAGGTGGCATAGGGTCAAAACCAAGGCCCACTTCCGAGCTCACCAGGTGGTTGGCAGTTTCTTGCCATTGTGGGACTGAGATCTGTTAGCTGGCTGTCAGCGGCAGGTCATTCTCAGCTTCTAGAGGCTGTCCATGTTCCTTGGTCCATGGCTCTCTTCCTCCATCTGCAAAGCTAGCAATGGTGGGTTGAGTCCTTCTCATGGTTTGAATCTCTCTAACCTTCCCTTCTGCCTCGTCTTTTTTGCCTTCCTCTTCCAATGCATCTCTCTCAGTAACTCTTCTGGCCTTCCTCTTCTGCTTTTAAGGACTCGGGTGATTACATTAGGCCTACCCTCATAATTTCCCTGTCTTAAAGTCAGCTCATTAGTAATCTTAATTCTTTCTGCAAAGTTCCTTCACTGCAGTACCTGGGTTAGCAGTTGATTGAATAACCAAGCAACAGGAAACCTTGGGGGTATGTGTGTGCGTGCACATGTGTGTGTTTCTTTAGAATTCTGCCTGACACACTCTTACCCCCAAACTTCCACGACTTTCTCTCGTCCACAAGTAGAGGGATAAACTGGCTTGGCATATATTCCTTGAAAACTATTGCTTCTGCTAGAACTTCAGTTTTTGAACCTGAGTACTTTTAAAAGTGTCAAACTATTTTCTCTACAGCAAGCCTGAAGATGCTTTGGATATCTAGAAATAAAACCAATATTTTTCTCTGTTATAGCCTGTGTACCCCATGGGCAGTGGGTACAAAGAGGTCTCCCGGTCTCTTAGGGTGGTGGCTAAAGGGTAAAGGTCCTTCTAAAGGCACGACAGTTCAGTTAATCAAATGTTTATTGATTATTCTGTTGACAGTGCTGTGGGAGATCCTGCCCTCACGGAATTTATAACCTAATAGGGGTGAATGTCATTTAAATACATACTTATAATAAGTGCAGAATATGGGAAGACTGTGGGGAATATGCAGTGTTGTCAGAGCCTATAAGAGGAGGCTGGGACTTCCAATTGAGAGGTTAAAGGTTTTTTTTTTTTTTTTTTTTTTTTGGCTTAAAGAGTGGGTGGGTTTTGAGAAATAATGTTACGTATTTGTAGTCTACAATGTACTTTCTATACTGGATTTCACTTAGTACTCACAGTTCCTTTTTGTGGCAGGGATTATACTGTTTGTGTTACAGATGTGGGAGCTAAGCCTGAGAGACTTGGCTCAAAATCAGATTCCAATCATTGACTGACTGAGATTGAACCCAGCTTCACCAACTCTAAATCAAAACCATGCAGAGAGAACTGCATGAGTGAAGACAGTGAGGTGGGCTAGTGTATCATGTAGAGCTAGCCTCCAGGGTGGCCAACCATGATCCCCAGCTACTGGTACTCACACTTTTGTGTAGTTTCCTCCCAAACTGAATGGGAATGGCCTGCATAACCAATAAGATGTAGAAATAATGATGTGTGGGTTATGTCTGAGGCTAGGTTATAACAGATATTGCAGCTTGCAGCTTGCTTTATTGGATCTGTCATTCCAAGGGAAAATAGCCACCATGTTGTGAGGACATTTAAGCATCTTCTTGGAGAGGTCCATGTGGCAGGACTATGCAAGATCCATCATGAAAGCAGATATTCCAGTCTCAGTCAAGTCTTCAAATGATTACAGTCCGAGGCAACAACATGACTATACCTTCATGGGAGCCTCTGAGCGAGAACCACCCCAGTTAAGCTGCACTCAGAATCCTAACCTGCAGAAACTATGTGAAATAATAGACGTTTATTGTTGTTTTGAGCCATTGTGTTCTGGGCTAATTTGTTTCACAGTAATAGATAGCTAATACAGCATGGGGTTTAAAAGAGTAATTTTATTTAAATAACGTTGAACAGATTGTAAAAAACTTGCCTGCCAGACTGAAAACCATATTTTTTATTCTGATGGCATGAGGGAGCCACTGAAGGGTTTTGAACAGTAGAATATTTGGAAAAATAGGCTATTGGAGAGTCTCTTGCATATAGAGTATTTACAAATTAACTGAATTCTATGTCATTTGGGCCTGGAGAGGAGTCACTAAGAAATTAAATACCCCCCAAATACTTCCTGCTTCATCTTTTTTGTTCTGAAAATCTTAAAATATGTATCTGCCTTCTTTTGCAATCCTAGGAATTGTGTTTCATTTTTAATCTTTTTCTAATTAGTGGAGATTTTTCTACTTCTAGCATTCATAGAAGATTAGAGCCCATGAAAGATAAAACAGCTTATTCCAAGAGTATGCCGAGGCAAATCTGTGGGTTACCACCAGGATGAAGTGTATGTGGTGTGTGTGTGTGTGTGTGTGTGTGTGTGTGTGTGTGTGTGTATAAAATGATTACATTTCAGCCAAACACAGACATAGCAGGGAAAAGTGTGTAGTGGAAAAATTCTGATCTTGAGCCTCTGTTCTCTAGCCTTCTAGTGGAGTCAGATTACAAAGGGGATTTAATTGCCAGCAAGATCTTGATGTTAATTCAGCTGCCAAAAAAGGGATTGCTCATGATTCACCAGGTTACCCAGGAGAAATTGGGTGACACATCCTGAGTCTCTGAGAACTTTAGGTCTTGGGAGGCCTTTACCTGATCCTGGTCACTGAACCGCTATAGCCTCTAAGCCACAACCTTTTTGGAAGACTGATCTGGGTGTAATGAATACTTTCCTTTTAAGTAGATTTCCTAAATCCAAGTTTTGAGGAGGTAGTCTAAAGTGGCTCCACATCTTTGGATTTTGCTTAAACCTTGTAAGGACTGACAGATCTCCTATAAAAATGTTGTTTATAGCTGGGCACGGTGGCTCACGCCTGTAATCCCAGCACTTTGGGAGGCCAAGATGGGTGGATCACTTGAGGTCAGGAGTTCAAGATCAGCCTGGCCAACATGGTGAAACCCATCTCTACTAAAAATACAAAAGTTAGCCAGGCATGATGGTGCGTGCCTGTAATCCCAGCTACTCAGGAGGCTGAGGCAGGAGAATCACTTGAACTCGGGAGGCGGAGGTTGCAATAAGCCAAGATCACACCGCTGTACTCCAGCCTGAGCGACAGAGTGACACTTCATCTTAAAAAAAAAAGTTGTTCGTTCCTATTTCTCCACATCCTCTCCAGCACCTGTTTTTTCCTGACTTTTTAATGATCGCCATTCTAACTGGTGTGAGATGGTATCTCATTGTGGTTTTGATTTGCATTTCTCTGATGGCCAGTGATGATGAGCATTTTTTCATGTGTTTTTTGGCTGCATAAATGTCTTCTTTTGAGAAGTGTCTGTTCATATCATTTGCCCACTTTTTGATGGGGTCGTTTGTTTTTTTCTTGTAAATTTGTTTGAGTTCACTGTAGATTCTGGATATTAGCCCTTTGTCAGATGAGTAGGTTGTGAAAATTTTCTCCCATTTTGTAGGTTGCCTGTTCACTCTGATGGTAGTTTCTTTTGCTGTGCAGAAGCTCTTTAGTTTAATTAGATCCCATTTATCAATTTTGGCTTTTGTTTCCATTGCTTTTGGTGTTCATGTCCTTTGTAGGGACATGGATGAAACTGGAAACCATCATTCTCAGCAAACTATCGCAAGGACGAAAAACCAAACACCGCATGTTCTCACTCATAGGTGGGAATTGAACAATGAGAACACATGGACACAGGAAGGGGAACATCACACTCCGGGGACTGTTGTGGGGTGAGGGTGGGGGGAGGGATAGCATTAGGAGATATACCTAATGCTAAATGACGAGTTAATGGGTGCAGCACACCAACATGGCACATGTATACATATGTAACAAACCTGCACATTGTGCACATGTACCCTACAACTTAAAATATAATAATAATAATAAAAAAGTTGTTCGTGAAGATGACCTTTCTATATCGTGGGTACACTTGGCCTTGCAGGTGACCTCAGAGACTGTCATGCCTGTTTTGCTTTGCTTGGAGTTCATTGGTAGAATGATACGGTGGAAAGAATAGTAGGTTGGAGAGTCCAGAGGTGAAAGTGCTGGTTCTCACTGTGCTCCTAACTAGCTGTGTTATTTTGGGCAAGTCACTGAATTCCCCTGGGTCACACAGCTTTCTTGCCCATAAAATGAGGAAGGGTTGCAATAGATACTTTCGAAGGTTCATTCTAATTACAATACTCTATAACTTGTGATTCCTTTTATGAACTATCTTCATCAAATTTGAGGTACTGCCAGGCATAGTGGCTCACGCCTGTAATCCCAGCACTCAGGGAGACAGAAGTGGGAGGATAGCTTGAGCTCAGGAGTTTGAGACCAGCTTGGTCAACATAGTGAGACCCCGTTCTCCACAAAAAGAAAAAAAAAATTGAGGTACTGTGTATCTCTGGGGAGAGTTCAGAGTGATAAGCTAACTCTGTTTCTAAAGAGAATAGGGCAAACGTTACAACCAGAGATATTCCTTGGAAACTTTATGCACTGTTATTAGACACAAATACCCATTCATTAGTTTTCCAAGGTTTTTGTGTAAGATGAGTGTTCCTTTGTAACTGTAAGAAATATTTAATTTCTAAGACTCATAAAGGTATGGAAAACATGAGAAAGGCTGTCATTGCATGCGTTGACAGTGAGTAAGTAAGCAAATCTGTGCCATATTGTTCAGTGTGTTTTATATTGTTTAATAGCTGCAGTTTTAGTCAATTATGATTTGTAGCATATTCTTAACGTTATGCAGGGGGTGCAGCCTCCTGCCTAATAATCAGTGTGACCTTAGTTTTGGTGCAACATTAGTATATAATACGGTACTTAGGAATTGTGATTTGTAGCTATGACAGATTTTCTTTTTAGGATTGGTAAGTACAGACAGGGCCCCCTTCTGGAACCCTTACAGGATAACTGAAATCCACCAGTTAATCAGAAATCCTCTATTTTAGCTTCCACTGTAATTGCATCTCTTCTTCACCAAGCCTGTTTTGCCTGTTTTTTTCTCTTCCCTCAGAGGATCAGTGAAAATGCAATCAGATGAACAAGCAGACAAGTAAAAAGGAGGAAAATCAAGGAGCCTATATGTTCTCTGAGAGAGCTACATAAACTTAAACTCTGTTGCTTCTGGAGTTGATTTGAGTGTGGGGGAGGGGGAGGAAGAGAAGGTCACCAGGTACAGCAGCTTGTCTTGTTTGAGCATTCAGCCACAGCTTCCAACACTGAACAGACAGAAATAAAAAGTTGGTGCTGGCTATGTGCGTCAGGTAGCTCTACATCAGTCCTGCCACTGTGGACCATGTTTACACCAGTAGGTTATTTTCTACACTCCTTTCATTCTAAGAGGATTACATCCTCCATTGCTTTCTGTCCAGGAATCCTTCAATTCCATCTGAAAGGCATGTTCGTGACATTTCTAGTTGGATCAGGAATTGACTTTGACCTGTAGTGGTCTGAGGAAGTGTCGAGTTGCTGGGTGACCTGCATCTTGTTGTCACATAGCCAGAGAGTATTGTGAATCCATTGCTGATCTGTGTTATATCACAGGGCCAGAGGGATACTGAGATTTCTTGAACTAAATCAGACATTTTCTAAACTCTGATTTGAAACAGATACAAACTCCTGAACCCACTGAAGCGAGACTGTCTCCTAAGGCTGTGGTTCTCAAAATTATGTGAGCATCAGAATCTCCTATAGGCTTTGTTAAAGTCCATTTGTTGTGTCCTCACTCCCAGAATTTCTGATTCAGTAAGTGTGCAGTAGGGGCAAATATTTTGCATTTCTACCAAGTTCCCAGGTGATGCTAATGCTGCTGGTCCAGGGACCACTTTTGACAGCCATTGTCCTAAGGGGCTTCTCAACATGGAAAGATTTGAAGTCAGGCCATAGTCCTTTTGAGGTTTCTCAATCCTTTCACTCTGTTGACCCAGCTTGTCTCTGACCTACTGCCCCTTGGGTATGGGGGCCATAGATGTGTGCTCATATCCTGTCTTTCAGTTCCATAGTGCCCAGACAACCAAGATTGTGTCTGAACTATGGTAGCCATCTAGTCTGAATTTTTGAATGTAGTGTAAAAGCCAGAGATTTAGGGCAGAATTTATGTCTCCTATTGCCTTAGGAACATTAATCTTGAAAAAACAGTCTTAGGTGGGGAGGATTCTCATTTTTATCTATGAGGAATTGAAACTCAGAGTTTAAATTATTTGCCCAGGAAGTAAATGGCAGAGTTGATATTTGAACCCAGGACTCTGGCTTCAGTGATGATTTTCCTTCACCTAAGCTTCTCTTTCTCTTGGGTTCCTTTTGAACTGAAGATTTTCTTCACCCTTTCTTCTCATCATGAGTCTCTTTAATTAGAGTGTGAATTTTGACTTTAATATAGATATATGTGTGTATATATATATCTGTATGGAGGCCCATTTTCCAACAGTTTTATCAAGTCAGTGAAGTCCTCAGATGTGTGTGTATTCATATATATTAATATATATGCACAATACATTGCTTCATTTTTAATATTTTGCGTGCATTTTATCATACTATATAATATGCATCTTTGTAAGCTGCCCTGAAGCAGTTAGAAACAGGGCAAAGAATACATGTAGACCCCCAACTGTAGTCAACACATACACAAACACATTATTTATCCACCCACAAGGTGGCTTGTTCTTCATACCTTACAGTCTAAGAAAATGTCTCTTTGGTAGCTAAAGACTTGTACTAGGTTCCAGCTATGCCCTTGACTGTCATCAGTAAATGGAGTTGAAAGTGGCTTTGCTTACCCTGCTTCCACCCAGTAACTTTCTATAAAGGAGATCAGGGCATCACTTAGTTCTGTGGGGAGAGAGGTGGCAGGTCTGTATTGACACTTTCATCTGTTGGAAAACAAGAACAAACCCTGAGGGCTTTTAAAGTGTGTTCTGCAGTGAGAGTTTATATGCTTTATCCACATTAAGAGCAAGACAGTTTTTTTTTCTTTCCTAAAGAAAACAGTTCTTTTTCCATTGCGGGGGAAACAAAAAAGAAAGAAATTCTGGCATCTCTTGCTGAAGGCTGTAATGAGGCAAGGAGCTGGATTGCAGGAGAATGGTAATAAGAAGTTAAAAATGATGGTCATGGATACCCCTCCAGGAACAAAATGACTCTGGGAAGATATAAAATTGCCTGTTTTTGTTTTTAAATTATCAAATAATATGGCAAAATGTATCAGTGACCCTTACTCCATTCCCCTATCTTCTTCCTAGTTAGATGGCTTTTTTACTTTTCCCTTCACTCATGTTTTGTGAGTACAATTTTTACTGTCAGCAAAACATAATGAAGATATTTGTTAAAAACCTGTGACAACGGTTAGCTTCCAAGGGGGTCTCAGTTATGCCAACTTCTATTATTATAAAGAAACTTTCTGATGTTTAATAACATGTATAAAGAATACTAAAAGAAATTCTGTGTCGTCTAGAACTGAGAATAAGGATCATCACATGAATCAAGCATTCTTTTATCTTCCCTCAACCCTATTCACACATGGTGATTGGTCAGACAATATTAATGTACTTAGGGGCCTATAAAAATTAGAGTTATCCAGCACCTAGATATTCCAATGGGAAGCAGAATGGGTTCTATAATTAAGCAGTCAAATGTGTTTATCAATTGAGAGTAAGTTAATTTGGCTAGTGCTGCTTTAAGGGAGAAATCAGAGAATTGAAGTTGCAGAAAGATATAGTCAGTTCTGCTATAAAGTGACGTAAGTGTTCTGAGAATCACCATGCTATGCAAAATTGTGCAACAAAACCCACAGGATTTATGGTTAAAATGGGCTTAGTGGCACACATTTAAAAACTTTGTCAATAAACATTAAAACAAAAAGAAACCTAATAAAAATGGTAACACTGTTAATATGGTTAAATGGTTAAAGAACACGTAAGAAAGACTTCAAGAAGTATGTCATTTTTCCTTGAAAAAAGAACCACTAAGTTTGCTTGTGGAAGTAGACATTGGAAAGGTTGCTGCTTGTGAGTTATTATGAAGTGGTGGAAGGAGGGTTTTCCTGAAATTGGAAGGAAGGTTGTAGACAGCAATGTGAATGGATGGGTGGCTCATAACACTCAGTGACTTAGGTATCCGATAGGTGTTAGAGGCATGTGCACCTGCTTTGGTTCAGCTGGGTGTGGTTTTCTGCAGTCACCTAGTATTTCTCATGGATGAAATAATGCATAAACCCAACATTTGCATTATACTTTAAGTGTTCCCTAATATATCAGTTGTGTTGAAACAAATTCATGTTTTCAAAATAAGCATTATAGAAGAATTGACAAGTCAATCCTCAGAGGATAAGTGGAACCCTTCACCCACCTTCTCATTTTTTAAATACTGATGGTCATCTATGAGCGATGAGCCATATGAGAATGACTCTTTTATGCATGTTTATATCATATGTCTTATAAAATGTTAAATAATATTAAGAAACATAAACATGTAAAGTCCTCCTTCCAGCCCCACAAGACAAGTAATAATTTTAGGCCAAATCAAAAATATCCCATGTATCAAAATGGCCTTGTCAAGATGACATGTCCTCACCTCAACCCACCCCTACCCTTGAGTTGAGCCAAATAGAGGCTGAGTCACCGATGACTGGATGTTATTCGTTTTCTCACTGATGATTTTCCTTGACTGAGGTGGCAACTGTTGAACTGGCTCTGTATTGTTTGACGAAGTATATATATATAATCATTGGTTCTGGGTCCCAAGGCAGTTCCCAGGGTCTTGTTTGTTGATTTTCAGGATGTGGCTGCATGTACTGGACATTTCTCAGCAGATCCTGCATACAGAATGATTGATTCTGGGGCTTTCTGGATGTTCTACTCTTTTTAGGTCCACTTTGGGAAAAAAAGGGAAGCTACTACTTTCACATGAAGTGAAAGTAGCCTGCATTTGCAGGGAAGCCATGTCTAGAAAAAGCATAATCAAAATGATGTCCTTGGAGGAAGCACCTGGCTGTTTACAACAAGTGAAATCCTTGTCTTCCAATTAGAGGGGCAGCTGGAGTCTCATGTGTGCATTCAGGTTGCAAAGAGATGAGCCACTATTAGATGAGCCACCACTAACAGAACTGCTGGGATGATGTAAAGTAATAAATTACACCACTCATGTAAGTATGATAGCATCAATGTAAGCATGTAGGAAATTTTGTTTTAATTCTAGATTTAGGTATCAACTATAAAACCCTAGAATCTATGGCAAGTAGGAAATGAGGAGAGTATATTTTATCCCACATCTCATCTTACAATGAGGTGAGGCCTGCAGAAGCAACAGTGACTAGCCAGGAGATGCTGGCGAGTCATAATGTAACTAAACAATAACATAAACGCTAGAATTCCCAACTGTTCTTTTAGTACCATAGTATTGATTTTTGTAATTCGGTGAGTTTTGACCACTTACTTAAGATTCCAGGCAGCCCTCCTGTTGTTGTTGCTGCTCTCCTTTATGCCAGCATTTGTCACACTTGCTTGATTTGATTCCCTGCCTCCTGCCTTTATTTTATTTTATTTTTTAAAGCTGAAAAAAATGAGGGTTGCTTGTATTCAGGCCACGGTTACCACCAGTTGGCTTTATTTCTTTGGTCAATATCCTCTCTTCCATGGATAGAAATATGAATAAGAATAATCCTTGTACAAAGAAAACAAAAGTGCTAGCCTACTTTGTATGGAGGCCCATTTTCCAACAGTTTTGTTTTATCTAGTCAGTGAATTCCTCAGATGTATTACTCGAGATGCAAGGAATACATTGGGAAAAACACCCCAGAAAAGTAGTAGCTTCCCTTTTTTTCCCAAAGTGGACCTAAAAAGAGTAGAACATCCAGAAAGCCCCAGAATCAATCATTCTGTATGCTGGATCTGCTGAGAAATGTCCAGTACATGCAGCCACATCCTGAAATCAACAAACAAGACCCTGAGAACTGCCTTGGGACCCAGAACAAATGATAGTCTTGATAATTAAAATCTTGAATATTTATCTTTCAAGATTTTTCTTAAGCCAAATTGGGAAAAAATGGATTATGAAAAGTGCTTAGAATTAAATCCAATATTTAAGATATATTAAGTGTTCATATGCTGTTGTATAATCTTTAACTTTTCAAAATGAATTCTAAAAACCACACAACTGGAGGACATTCATGAAAGACTGTTTACAGTGTCATTTAGCACAATTCCCACACACCAAGGATAAGCTGACTAATAATAATATTAATAGCAGCAGCTAAAACTCACTGAGCACTTACTAGATGCCTGGCATCATTCTTCATGGATTACGTGGAACTATTTAATCCTTAACCCCAAGAGGAAAATGCCATCATTATTTACCCCATTTGAGGGGAGGAAACTGAGGTTCAAAGAGGTGACTCCTTTCATAAAGCCAGTCAGCTAACAAGTTGAGAAGCTGGAATGCAAAACCAGGTTATCTACTTCCAAGCTTACACTGCTAATAGAAATAAAGGGAGGAACCAGTAGCACTTGAGTTAGCCATGCCTCTCTCACTGATCAGGCAAGAAAGGCCATGCCTCTAGGCAGTTTTGTTATGCATTAAAGAGAAATAAAAATAATACATGTTTTTTCTTTCTTACAGATTTGTTGTGATAATCTTAGAAGATAGGGGGAGGAAGTGGTGTTTAATGAATATCTGCTATATGCAGGCACTATATCAGGTATTTCACATAACATCATTAGCTGTTGCTGTCCCTGTTATTGCACAGGTCTCAAATTCACTTTTGACTGTAGAGTCACTGCCATTTTCAAAGGATAGAATCATTGCCATCTGTTCTCATGTGTGAGTTTTTCTTGTTGCCTGTCTTATTCAACTGATTTCAGTGGGGGTGGGGAGTTATTTTTAAAGCAATACATGTTATTAGTAGAAAACTTGAGCAAAGGATTTGAACAGGCAGTTTACATAGCAGGAAACTTCACAGGCCATCAAGTATTGGAAAAGATACTCCAAGTCTTTAGTAATGAGAGAAATGTAAATGGATGGTCTGCCTCTATGGGCTTCATCTTCAACATCATCTCATCTCTTCTTAAAATGAGTTATCCATTTGTAAATTGCTCATTTCTCTGGGGCATTGTCTTCGTAAACATTTTGTGATGCATCAGTAATTTCAGCATTCTTCCACCCAAGAATCACAGTAAATTTGATGTTTGCCCTTCAATTTTAGCAGAATTCTTGTTGCTTGGATAGGGGCACTTTGCAAACTGATGTCTTATACTTCTTAGTGCCTTAAACTAGATCCTGTTTAGATATGTTATAACAACTTAGTATGAGTTTATTTTGGTGCAAAAAAAATTTGAAATCCATGTATAGTTTTTTCTTAATATTCATTTTTCATGAACTTTTTGAAGACTTCTTGTATTTTATTTACATAAATAAATGAATAAAATGGGGGAGGCATATTACATATGCTTTTTTTGTACCCTGGCTATGAAGATGGACTAAGTTATCTCTAAGATGCCTTCCAACTCGAAGACACTCTCCCCTCAAGGCAAATATCAGATCATCAAATCCAGTCAAGTTATAAATTGACTTGGGTTCAGCATAATCCAAAACTTATTTTGCCAAGCGCTCTTGTTGTCAACTGTATGAGATACCAGTGTACCAGTGCATTCAAAGGAAAATATATCTGTATTTTGATTTATCTGCATTTATTTATTTATTTTTTGAGACAGAGTCTAGCTCTTGTCACCCAGGCTGGAGCGCAATGGCGTGATCTCTGCTCACTGCAACCTCCTGGGTTCAAGCGATTCTCCTGCCCCAGCCTCCTGAGTAGCTGAGACTACGGGCGTGCACTACCACACCTGGCTAATTTTTGTATTTTTAGTAGAGATGGGGTTTCACCATGTTGGCCAGGCTAGTCTCCAACTCCCAACCTCAGGTGATCCACCCACCTCGGCCTTCCAAAGTGCTGGGATTACAGGTATGAGCTGCCGCACCCGGCCTGATTTACCTGCATTTAATTCAAACAGTACACATTTTGACTTGGTATGCTGAAATCGTTTTAGTGTATTCAGACCATTTCATAGGCTGATAGTTTACTCTAAAAATAGAATATACAGCATCAAACAAATATTAGTCCTCAATGGAACAAGTGAGGTTGAAACTTGATCTAATGTACCAGGAAACCATCCCATCTGAGTGATCTAGTGGCTTTTCATAGGCTAGAGCTGAACAGTTTCTGATGACTGCTCAAAAGCAAGTCAATCAGCGAGTAATAGAGTTCAGAATCTTTATTCTCTGTTTTGTATCTGGACTGTGAACAACCCTTAATAAAGAGTACATTCCTTTCTGCCAGAACTGCCCAATGGAAGACAACAAGTCTATCTAGGCTTCTTATAAAAGCCAACAGAAACCTCCCAAGGGAGACTCAAACCTCAGATCATTGCATTAGGAGCTGAAAATTAGAGTGCCATTGACTGTTGTTGCCATGGTAATCACTGCTGACCTGGCAGGTTCTTCCTCATGATAGCCTTCTCAACAGGTTCACTTCTGCTAAGGTGTGAGGTGTGTGTCTCTGTTTGTTTGCTTGTGGCAAAGTTGTCATGTTTTACTCTAAATACAAAGTAAGAAGACAGGAGCCACCAATGTCTTGCACACAATAAATGTTAAATGAAGATTTTTGGGGTTTGATTGGGTGCACCGGGTTTGGAAAAAAAATCAGAGGTGTCAGTCACTATGCTCAAAATGTCTGTGAAGCCCCCATTGCTGGCTGCTGTTTCTCTTGAACAGTTCCCGTTGCTTTTTGGAGTAATCAGCACCTGGGTAAGATTTGCAACTCTCCAATCCACAAAATTCTGTAGGTGTCCAGAGAGGCGGGAAGCTGTTTTAAAACTGTCCTTCTTTAGAATCTATTATGAGGCCTTTTTGGGGGAGGAATAGCATGGCTTCTGAGTACTCATTCTATTAGGTTGTCTGGTTTTGGGGAGTTGGTAGAGTACTAACTCTAGGTTCTCTGATTTCTAGGAGTTGGTAGAGTACTACCTCTAGGTTCTCTGATTTCTAGGAGTTGGTAAAGTACTTACGCTAGGTTCTCTGACTTCTGGGGACTGGCAGAGTACTTACTGTAGGTTGTCTGGTTTCTGGGGCCCTCCTTTGGGATTTTTATGCCCATCCAGGTGTGGAAACTACTCAATGGTAATAGTCTTAAAATCATCTTAAGATTTTCCAGTCCTGAGATTTCCCCAAACCTAAACTGATATTAATAGTCTTATCAGATTTTTGCCATGTGTTCATTGAAAAAATAATCTCCTTCATGTTAATGCAATATTTATGGAATTATTCTTTCCAAGAAGAAGGGAAAGATAACATCCAAAGTTTTGGAGGTAGTTTAAGCATTTGTCTTAAGTTTTGTGTTTGCAAAATACTCTTCAGTTGCCTCTCATTTATCCTTACAAGCCTAGCCACACCTGCCCCCAGTGAACATCTCATATTTACTGAGAAATAAAAATTTAGTACAGGTGATTTGCCTTGGGTATTGTTACCAGATTGTGTTTTTGCCCAGTGGAGAAGCAGATGCATTTAAAACTGCACTTGACACCTGAAAAATCACTGTCCCAGAAGCTACTAAGTCCTTTGTGAAATTACAATGAGGCGGCGGGCTGAACCACTGGTGGTTCTCCTACCCAGGGCTCGGCTTCCCACAGACATAAGTGAATCAGATGCCAGGGTGTTTCAGTTTACCGTAGGGGGTGTGTAAAAAGACGTAAGATTATTTACTTAGGCAGTGTAGTGTGGGGACATCACCACAGACCAATAGTAAGAAGGTTGGCCCTGATGCTGGGCTTTTTCTAATAGCATAGACTTGATCACATCATTAACCTCTCTTACCTGTAAAATGAAGACACCTGCCTTTCCTATGCCACAGGTGGTTGTATCAAATGAGGTAATGTTTGTTAACATTTTTTTTGCAGCCTCCGAAGTACTTTGGAAACGTACTAGCACCATTCTCCGAGGCCCGATGATCGTACAGTGGCTGGAAACGGCATTTTCGCATGTGCTTTTCCTGAGTCTAGGTTGTCAGGTGGATCCTTCTTAGGCTCCTCAGTTTGAACAAGCTGTCAGAGTGTATCAAAGAATACCAGATAGGAGGAGAAGAAAAAGTAACAGCTGAAAAAAAAAAAGAGGGAAAAAAGAGTAGGCACTCCCCTCCACCCACTCTCCGGTTCCATTCAGCACACTGACTTCATTCAGCAGTTTTTTTCCTGCTTTGTATGCAAAGACAGAGCCTCTCATGAGAACTTGGATGGTGGAGTATAAACACTCATTTAAAAATAAATCCAGATGTAGTTGGCTGCAGTCATCTGACAGAACCCTGATTCTCTCTTCAATAATGACGTTCATTTGTACCTCATTAATTGAGAGTTTTTAATAATTTCTCCAGGGTAAGTCTGAAGTTTACTTTGTTTTATCTATGAAGAAAGGACCCACAGAGCAAATGAATAGTGTAAATAAGTTTGCTAGGAAACATTTAGCCTGCTTGAGAGGAAGGGCCATTTTCAAATGCCTTACTTGCATCTATTTGCATCCTAACTATCTACTGATTATGAGTGATTCTAGTCATTAAAGTAGTCCTAGGAGGATTTCTTCTTGGCGATGTTTTATTAGCATTTAATTTGAACTCTAATAAAACTCCATTTTTAAAAACTTGCCCATAATTCAATATTGTCACACATCTTCCTTCCATCAGTATAAATTTGTTGTAAGGCATTATTGTAATTAATTACGTGCCCCCAAATCTCTTGCATATCATCTGGTACAATTACATCCTTTTGAAAAAGATTTTCTATTTTCCTTTAGTTTCTTAAGATTGAAGTGTCCTGACATAAATAGCATCACTAAGGCTTGGACTTAGAGAAGACCTGCCTGTAAGAAACCAACTAGGGAGGAATGTAATTAGTTATTTCCACTATGACTAGATTCCAGCCCAAGATAGAGACCAACTTCTTCTTCTAAAAACTTTAGATTTCTGTAATTGCATAAACTAGACTTTATTCATAAAACAACTTCTGTACCATGCTTGAGATACAGTGAATACTAAGTATTTAATGAATTAAGGCATGAGTGCACATCTTTTGGGTTTTCGTTTGTCTTTTGTGTAGACACCTTTTAATATCAAGCAGTCTGTATTATAATAGGAACTCTGCAAGAAGATTGTATTGAAAGCAGTGTGTTCAACCCATCTATTCACTCATTTTTCAAATATTTTGAGGGACAACTACTATGGATCAGCCAGACCTAGAGGTCAGAGGAAGTGTGTGTGCCTCTGTACATTTCACATTTAGCGTTCAAGCCCCTTAACCTTTAAAAGTGAGATTGATACACTCTACAGTCTTTGCCTCTTACTGTACTTTGAGTTGCTGTGTGCCTGGTTCAAATCCTTTCCCAGCCATCCTCCTATGGTTATTGCTTTATGCCTAACTAGACCACTATTACAACAAAGCAGATGCTCTGGGCATAGCTCATCTCTCTTTATGTTTGTGTCTAATTTTTCACTTTGTTATACTTCTGTCACATTTTGAATATCTGCGGTACTATGGATCTACACTTCTAAGTAAATAAAGTACCTTTGTACCAAAGGTAACAGCTAATATTTTTGTTATTTATCTATGCTAGGCACTCTTAGAAGAGCTAACATATGCTCTTAGAAGAGTGCCTAGCATAGATAGCACAGATAGAGCAAATGATAAAAAGCATGGATGCATGCATCTAAGAGCATCTGTGAAATGAGTGTTTTTATTATTCCCATTTTACAGGTAAGAAAACTGAGTCACACAAGGATATATTTGTGTAACACAATTTCAAAAAGGCAAACTCTTGCTCTTGTTAACGGTAAGGCCTTTTTGGCATCCCATATTTGTGAACTGTATCGATATGTTATCTCATTTGATCTGATACATCCCTTCCCATTTGCTCACATAGAAGAAGTGAAACAGATGAAGGTGAGTCTCTGCTTTCAGCAGCTCTGCAGGTTAAGGACTGTACAGCACTTGAACCCAGGACTTCTGAATCCTGATCTTGGACTCTTCCCTCAGAAACAAGCTGCCTTTCTTTTGCTGGTCTGGCCAGTAGATCTGTACTAAAGATGGGGGCCTCTCAATCTGAATGGGAGATTTGGAATCATGGGGACCTGAAGCAGTTAATGGAGGAGTGTTATAATAGAACATGTTTCATAGCCAGTCCATTTAGTCTAGGATCTAGAGTATTCCAAATAAACACCAACTCCTAATTTGTTTTTTGCTCCTGTGTTGAATCAATATCTAGAATATGCTCTTGACAGCTCTGGAGCAAAAAGCCAAGTCTCTGACAAAAGAATCAGTACTAATTGGGAAATAAATCAGAGTTTGCTATAGCTAAAAGGGAAAAACTCCCACACATTTATCTGTCATTTTGATTCGTTCTTTCATCCTATGTAGTACATTTTCAGGGTCTCAAAGAAGCTCATCTGTCTATGAAGGTGCTCATGGAAGCATCTTGTTTTACATATGATGAAAATGGAGAGAGCACTTCTTTTGACAGGAAACTTCACTTCTTGTTACTGAAAACCGTCACAACAGTCATTATGTCTGGCTTTCAGAGATTTCCTGGAGTTAGGAGAACAATAGACAGTTAAAATGGCAATGTCAAGAGCATTCTGGGGTTTTATAATGAGTACCAAGGGAAATTTTTTCTCTCGAGTTTGTAAGAAAAAAGTAGGAGGACTATTTGGGAAGCTGGGGATATGTGGAAATGAAAGGCAATGCTCTATTTTTTTAACGGAGTGTTCCTTCTAACCTTTGTAAGCTGAAAAAAATATTATACCATGGTTTCCATGTTCTTGTTATTGAGTTGCCAGTGAAGAAGAGAAGTTTCTCTTCAGTTGTCCCTCTCTGTAGGTTAAATCAGCCCCTGAAAAGACACATTTGCAGCTTTCTGTATTTTTCTTTGATTAAACATCAGTTAGAATTCTTGGATCCAGTTTTTTAATTCTTGTTGTATATGTACGGTGCTTCTGGGGCTTATGATTTCTAATTTAGCAGCAGGAGTTACTTCTCTTTTCCCTCTACCTCCAAAAAAAAAAGATGACTCAAGCATTAGGAATATGTTTTTGGGCTTATTGTATAATTCAATGTGTATTTGGATTTGCACAATTTTTAATCTTGATTTATGTAGCCCTAATGTGATTTCTAATTTTTAATAAAGTTTTTGAGGTACTAATGTCTAACACATTTAAAGTATAAACTTCATAAACAATTTATGTGACCTGCTGTTTTCATTTCTGTAGTTTCTTGCTTGCTGCTAGAGCTGTGGATGGTTTTAAAGACCCCTGTGTTAGTTACGCAGGGATACCTGAATGGTAAAAATAACCTGCTATCTTTATATTTTTTTGAAAATCTAACAATACAAAGGCAATTATGAATTATTAACATGTTTTTAAAATATGAGTAGAATATTCCTTGTTTTAAAAATTGGTCAACATTGGCCAGGCACGGTGGCTCACGCCTGTAATCCCAGCACTTTGGGAGGCTGAGGTGGACGGATCGAGGTCAGGAGATCAAGACCGTCCTGGCTAACACAGTGAAACCCCGTCTCTACTAAAAATACAAAAAATTAGCTCGGTGTGGTTGCAGGTGCCTGTAGTCCCAGCTACTCGGGAGGCTGAGGCAGGAGAATGGCCTGAACCTGGGAGGCAGAGCTTGCGGTGAGCTGAGATCACGCCACTGTACTCCAGCCTGGGCAACAGAGCGAGACTCCATCTCAAAAAAAAAAAAAAAAAAATTGGTCAACATTTTAAGATGCTATAAGGTGGAAATAAAAGTTTTCCTTCCTATTGTCTCAATCCTAAATATCATTCCTTAAAGGTAACCACTGTTAAGTCTCTGCAAATTCTACCAGAAATGACCTAATGTTCTATTTGTATACAAGCACACATACACGTATACATAAATACCTATATACATGTAACACACATCTATGCTTACATGTGTATGTACGGATACATATATGGATTCCATTGTGGATATGTTAGCATATACCTTAGACATCTGTTCACATCAGTATGTATAAATCCATTTCATTTTTAATGGCTATATTGTATTCCATTGCATTGGTTTGCCATAATTTAGCTTACCTTCTGTTTATCAACATTTACGTTTTTCCAGTTTTATCTTGTTGCAAACAATACTGCAATAAATATTTTTGTATATATCTTTTTGCATTTTTGTAAGTATATTTGTAGGATACATTCAAGGCAAGGGAATTACTGGTAAAAGAGGGTGTCCGTTTTTAGCATCACTAAATATTGGCAAATTGTCCTCCAAAATGGCTGCCCTAATTTATACTTCCATCAACAGTGTAGAAGAATGTCGTGTTTCTCCACACCCTTGTCAACACTAAATATGACAAAAATTTCAGTTTGTAAATACAATAAGTGAAAATAGTATCTTATTTTGACATTCTGTTGCTGCTGTATTTGAGGTTCATTTAAGCAAATGCTTACTGAGCACTCACTGTGTGTCATCACTGAAATAGGAAATGGCAATAAAAAAATGTCCTTGTTCTTGAGGAGCCATGGAAGTGAATAAGAAGCCTCTTTTTAGAAGAAATTCAAAGGTTGCAAAACTAGAAAAGTGGGTCTTTTGCACCCTACCAGCAGGAAATGTTGTCTATAAAAGATAGTGTCCACCCATGTCAACTTTCAGTTCTGTTGTCGGCCTAAATTGGCAACTCTCTGCTTCTGCAATAGTGGCCTTGCTTTCATTTTGGAAGAAAGTTGGCTGCAGGTAGGAGTAGAAATGCCTATCTAGTAGCTTTGGTTTTTCTCCAGGACCTGACTTGATTATCTCACTGGTTGCTTTTAGGAGAAAGCACCCACTGTTGGCTTCTGTTCTGAAAGGGCACCAGGCAAGCATGGAATCCTATCAGCAGAGCAAGCCAAGAGCTCAATAAACTGTTTATTCATTGTTCAAGCTTCTCCACCTATATGGATTATTAGAAGAAGTATTTCATCTTAGGGTACCCAGATTAGATTATAGATACTTCAAGTATTCTTTAGAATTCACTGAGGGGAAAAAAATATGGAAAGCAGCATCAGTCATTTGGGACCGTGTTGTTTCCTGATACCAAAATAACCGAAATGAAGAAACTACAATCTGTAAGTTAAAACAGCTGGTTTCCAGCCTGTTAAATAAAAACCAAAAGGTGTGACGTACATGGCAAAATGGGATAAACCTGGTTTTCTGAGTGGAGGCAGCTATTGATAATTTTACTTTTCTTATAGCTGAAGATGAAGGAGATTTGAGGTTCTCTGAGAATTAAAATTCGGCTGGAGTTAGCCTAGGGTGAGACCCTCAGAGCTGTCTGTTCATGCCATTGCCTCAAGCCTGTGGACGTTTTTTCACCCTGGGGCAAGAAGAGGCTCCAGTTTGCCCAACTGCTGTGTGTGTTCCAGGCCAGTGTCCAGTGAGGCTGACTTGGCAGCTGCCCTTTCCACAGCCAGCCAGCCAGCCCCTGAGTGTGTTTTAAAAGATAAGCGACAAAAAGCCAACCCCTTTTAGAGGGGCTGGAACAGGCTAGTAGTTGCTAGGCAAGTTAAAGTAATTCAGCGTCCTTGCCAAACGTCTGCCAGGCAAATAGGGAACTTTCAGAGAAGGGGAGTGAGATGGTGGTGTGTGTTGGTTGCCATAGGAATGTTTCCCTGATTGGAACAAGACCACAGAGTGGGGAGAGCAAGACGGCAGCATCTACGGTTCTTTCTGCTCAGGAATGGGAACCCAGAGTGGGCAGTAGAGCGGAGGCAAGCCATGCAGAGGCAGGAGCAGATGAGACCCTAGATGCCACGAGAAGCTAAACATGTGGGGAAAATAAAGAGCAGATTAACTCAGGAAAATTATATGGGGAGCTCTTATGCTACTCTGAAGATCTGAGACTCGTTGGAGAATTTACAATCCCAAATTAACTCAGGGAGAATTCCAACTAGACTCTGAAATGAATTAGATGGAGATTTAAAATAGGGCAATTTAGTGGGAAGAGATACTTAATTTGAAGGTAGGTATTTTGTATTTATGTAAATATTATGTCAGATTATGTCTTTATTTTAGCTCTTAAGGTAGTAATTAAATATCTGTTCATGAATTATAGTTTTTATCGAGTTCTGATTTATAGGGGGAAAAGGCACAGTTGACCAAATTGTATGAAACCTTGGACCTTGAAGAGACCCTCTGATGTGGGCTTTACTGCCGCATTAACAAGCACCCTGTGCATCTGGTGGCAGCTTCCAGAATGACAGCTGAGGGTCTGAGTGGAAATAAGTGGCTTTTAGCAAATGTTGAACCTCGAATGTGCTATTTAACCTCCCTGATTAATTGATTATCCAGCTCCGAAAATAAGAGGTGATATAGCTATCCCCTTATCTCAGCATGGATGCTGTTCTCATTTGAATACAATTTGGGGGGTAGGTGGGGGTAGTATCAGATCCTAGGGTACATGCTATGATAATGACAGGCTTAATTATCAGTCAGTCAATATTGTTTAGAACAAATGTTTTCTTTTAGATCACAATCTTAAGGAAACCTTTCTTTAACGGATAAAGTTTTACTTGTGCATATGAAGTGTATATATAAATTTATCATTTGCCATATATTTGATTCATGTTCAGAGGGTATTTAAAATAGTATCTTCTTCAGAATGTATATGTTGGGATTATATATTGCTGTTTCCTTCTTATGTGGTTTCTTTTTGTGGTCATGTAAAAGAAGACTAAAGGGATGTGATATTTAGTCTCAAATATTTGAATTATAGTCACTGTTTTATTTCAGGGCTGTTTCCTTCTATCAGTTCCTTTGATCTGGAACACCAATGTCATTTTTACTTTACAGTTGACCGTATGCTGGCTGACTGACATCAATTAACTAATCTGAGGCAAATTTGTAAGCCAAATGCCAAATTGTAATTTACTGGGAGAGTATAATCTAATAAGAAAGACTATCCTTGGGCTTTTCACATGGTGAACCCTAGTGTGATTTTGACAAAGAAGCCCAAGTATATACTACTATAATCTTTTTTTTAAAAAAGTGATGTTCTGACCAGGTGCGGTGGCTCACGCCTGTAATCCCAGCACTTTGGGAGGCTAAAGTGGGTGGACCATGAGGTCAGGAGTTCGAGACCAGCCTGACCAATATGGTTAAACCCCATCTCTACTAAAAAAATACAAAAATTAGCCAGGCATGGTGGCGAGCACCTGTAGTACCAGCTACTCGGGAGGCTGAGGCAGGAGAATCATTTGAACTTGGGAGGCAGAGGTTGCAGTAAGCCGAGATAGCGCCACTGCACTCCAGCCTGGGCAACAGAGTGAGACTTTGTCCCCGCCCCCCCCAGAAAAAAAAAAAAAGAAAGTGGTGGTCTTATCTAGACCCTCCAGAGTCTAGACTAGCATTGTCCAATAAAAATGTAATATAAACCTCAAGTATGAGCTTTATATATAATTTTAAATTTTCTAGTGGCCACATTAAAAAATAAAAGGAAACATGAAATTAATTTTAACAGTATATTTTATGTTGCTTAATATATTCAAGATATTATTTCAACATGTACAGTTGTCCCTTGGTATCCATGGAGGATTGGTTCCAGGACTCCCCACAGATACCAAAATCTGTGGATGCCCAAGTCCCTTATATAAAATGAAGTATTTGTATATAACCTGTACACATCCTCCCATATATTTTAAATCATCTTTAGATTACTTAAAATACCTAATACAATGTAAATGCTATGTAAATAATTGTTGTGTTGTATTATCTGTATTATTTTTTGTTGTATTTATTTAAAAATATTTTTACTGGGCAGTTGCATATGTAGAACCCATGGATATGGAGGGCTGACTGTAATTAATATAACTATTAATGAGATATTTTGCATTTTTAAAATACGAAGTCTTGAAAGTCCTATTGAGATGTGCTGTAAGCATATTTTTACACTTACAGCACATCTCAATTGGGACACTGAAGTTTCATGGACAATACTTGATCTGTACTTAGATTAAAACTTACAGTAGAAAAAGTAGATTCACATATCCAAGTCATTCCAAACATGCATATCAGTTGTCCAGTAACTGAATCAGTGTCCATTTCTAAATTTAAATTTAACTTTAATAAAATTAAATAAAATTTAAAATAAAATTTGGTTTCTTATTCACATTAGCCACGTTTTAAGCACTCAGTAACCCCCTGTGGAGTGGCTGCCATGTTGGACAGCACAGAAAGGACTGCTTTCTCTAGCCTTTTCCTTCACTTCCACATGTCTCAGATTGGAAGACCTGTGTGAGAACTCGGATGGGAAGAGAATCTCATTTCGTAAGTGTGGAACCACAGACAAAGAGTTGATGTTCTTAAAAGGAAGTTTCCATTCAGGCTATATTAGAACCTGCCTGGCAAGGAGTTATCTGTCTGGTAAACCACACTATCTCCACCCTTGTTCCTAGATACACCCCTCATTGTCTCCCCAATAGATAAAATCATGCCAACCTTGACAGTCTGCCTCCCTCAGGCTCCTCTTGTCTTCCACTCCAGGCTGGCTCATTTCCATTATGTCAGTGTATTTCCTGGTTATAGGCCCCCTTTATCTTTCTCATTGTTTCAATTTCCACATTTGGCCTTAATTTCTATGATACCTTAGTGTAGCATTCAAATGTTTAAATTCCAGTTTAGTTCTTAATTAAGATCATGTATATCAAGGTCAATGTTGTTGATTTATGTTAATTTGAATAAGAAACATTTCCTTTGCCCCTTGCTCCAGATTTCTAGAGTGGCTGGGCCGAGAAACTTTACTTCCTGTTCACCTAGGTAGGTATCTTGCTTTGGGCAAATCAGGATTCTTGAATATAATCACTCTGTGGTGAATCAGACCTGTGAAACTTAAAGAACTTATCTGTTCCCTAAAGAGGAAGAATTAAGAAATATCAGGTGGATGGATAAAGACTTAGCCTTGCCAGAAGTTTTGCCCCACACCTTGCTTGGGTCTGAAACTTGGTTGGTACATAGTATAACAGTAACTCTATCACTCATAGGTTAAAGAGCACAGAAGTCTGTCATTTTCTCTTGGGTACCTGGCACTTGCAAGGGACATCACTGATAAAATTCATCCACTCTGTTTTGAATATATCAAGTGAAAAGCACTTACATTGCTTTTTCAGGTCTGGAGAATGATGACCTTAGAATGGGCCCTTGTTCAAGACAATTCCAAGTCCTCCCTTAGCAAGAAAGTTAGCTTGGAAATTAGGAAATAAATATTTGACCTGTCGAATCATTTTAAATTAACCTGAATAGAAATGCATATTGTGTTCCTTCCTCATTACCATCAGAATCAAATCATTTTAGAGACAGCTAAGGCTTCGTGGAAAGAGGATCTTTATTGCCTGTAAAATAAAGAGGATCTTTATTGCCTTTATTGGGACTGGATGCCAGTCCCAAGTCTCTTGGCTGCAAGGACTGTGACATCAAGAAAGCCATTGAATTGTTCTTGGCCTCACTTCTCACCTGTCAAGTGAGAACATTAGACTAGATGATCTTAAGGCCTTTTGGTCATCACATAGTTTGATCATCTACTCTAATCCCATGGTTTCTTGGGTGAAGAAACAAAGGCCTGCAAAGTTACTTCCTAAGATCCCACAGCAAGTGTGAGGCTGGTCTCTGGTTCTCCGTCATGCTCTGTCTACTTCAGGAAACTTCATTGTTCACTTAGAGGTTAAGCTTGAACCAAGTAAAAATACCCAGATGGATAGCTGATTGTCTGTTCTTCCCATAATGTCATTTTGTCTGCTCATATATTGAGGTTGTTGGCCAAACACCTAAAATCCATAGGTTACCTGTTAATTTTTTGCCTCCTTAATATAGCCGGCCAGTAATTCAGGTCAGATACCTCTCTGGCATAAAGTCCCCAATGACCTCCTATTTAAAACAAAACAGGCTGGGCACAGTGGCTCACGCCTGTAATTCCAGCACTTTGGGAGGCTGAGATGGGTGGGTCACTTGAGGCCAGGAGTTCAAGAACAGCCTGGCCAACATGGTGAAACCCTGTCTACCAAAAATACAAAAATTAATTGGGTGTGCTGTTGTGCACCTGTAATCCCGGCTATTCAGGAGGCTGAGGCACAAGAATCGCTTCAATCTGGGAGACAGGGGCTGCAGTGAGCATCGAGATCGTACCACTGCACTCCAGCCTGGGTGACACAGCAAGACTCCGCACCCACACCCCCCCCCCCAAAAAAAAATAAACGAAACACTAAATTAGTTCTTTGCTGGTGAAAATGCATGGTAACAAAAGAAAAAGCAGTAGCTGGGATGCAGAGTTAAATTTGCTCAAATATTTTCCATTAAAACAATAACTACCATAAACCCAGAGTAGCTGCTCTGGTTGGAGGCCAACTTTCAAGTGTTGGAGCATCACTCACGGACAGGAAGCAGAGCCTGACTTTCCTGGGAAGGCTTCTTTTAGCTGGGGCAAACCTAGGGACTTTCATTCTCCTTTAGCCTTTCATTCAATGAAAAAGGCCAAGAATGCCAAGGAAAGGAAACTTGTTGATTGTCTATTATATACCAGGCATGCTAAGTATTTTATATATAGTGGCTCATTTAATTCTGTAACCACCCTGTGAATAGATAGGTATTATTTCCATATTACAGATCAATAAAAGTTGTGTAGCTTGTCTAGGGCTACACAATAAGTGATCAGGGATTTTACTTAGCTCTAAAATCTGATTACTTTCTAAATGTATTATTTGCAAAAAAAGTCCTTTAATATTTTTGCTTTTAGTCTTCAAAAGATCGCTGATGCAGGTTAACAGCCTCTGCTTGTTAACCTGCATCAGCGATCTTTTGAAGACTAAAAGCAAAAATATTAAAGGACTTTTTTGCAAATAATACATTTACATACATATCCACTAATCGGCATTGTTGGTGAGTGGCAAAAGGTGTGTGAATCTTAAGTCAAATTTAACTTTCAGAAGTGGTGCTTGCACTTTTTGGGTAAAATACAGTGCTATCATTTTGGTTTTTAAGAAATCCTGTTGTTTGGGCTTGTGGTTCTGTCTTTTATCCTTTGGGTAGATGAAGGGATGACATTTGCATTCAGTGTCCCTCCTGTTCCAGTTAATTGGTGCTGCATAACAAACCACTCCAAAACTTAATGTCAGCAACAACCATGTGTATTTGACTCATGAATCTGCAATCTGGCCAGGGCTCAGCAGGGACAACTCATCTCTGCTCGCCTCAGCATCAGCTGGGTTGGCCTAGAGGCTGTGGGTTAGAATCATCTGAAGCTAGCCCACTTACATGTCTGGAGCCTAGCTGGGAAGACAGACAGCTGGGCTCCTCAGGCATCTCTGTTTGTGGTCTCTCCAGCATGATAGCTTCAGGGTAGACAGACTTCTGTACCAGTTCACTGCTCAGCACATGACCCAAGAGAAAAAAAAGCAGGAACCTTTCATGATCTACCTTAGGAAATCAGACAGCATCACTCCACTATGTTCTATTAAACTGAAGCAGTTACAAAGGCCACTTAGGTTCCATGGGAGTAGAAATAGATTCCATCTCTTGATAGGGAAGTGAAAAGTTTCTCACAATCTTGCAGTGGCCACTATTGGAAGATATAGACTGCTACACAGATAAACGAGATTGCAGGTAATGTGCTGGTGCCCAAACCAGATGCATCTCTGGGCCTTTCTCTTCAGACCAAGGGAGCATATTGGCATTAAAATGGAATATAATCTATCCATTATAATTTAACTGACATAACTTATACTTTTCAAGAAAATTATCTGAAAATTTATGACACTCTATCTACTGTTAAAAAGAAATTACTTATGAAATACCAATGGATTAGGCTAATGTGGTAGATGGTTGAGTCTTTCCCTAAATTTTTCATCATTTTTGAGCTGGTGTCTGTTTAGTGTTCCTGAATTGTCATCAGGTTTCTGCTTTTCTACCTTGTGTGCAGAGGTAAACAGCTGAATATTTATGTAAACAGCTTTGTATAGAAACTTTTCCGTTTAAAACTAAAAAGGGAAGGCAATTGCACTTAAGATTGAATGTTTCCTGAAGGGGTTGTTTCAGCATTTTACAGCAGCTGCTGCCTCCTCTTTTGGAGATGAAATTATTATTCAAGACACATTTCTCAACGTTTACAAACTTAGTACACGCACACCTTATTTTATTATGCTTCACTTTATTGTGTTTTGCAATTTTTATAAATTGAAGGTTTATGGCAACCCTGCATTGGGCGAGTCTATCAACACCTATTTCCAACAGCATGTGTTTAATTCATGTCTCTGTGTCACATTTTGGTAATACAATATTTCAAACTTTTAAATTTTATTATATCTCGTATGGTGATCAGTGATCTTTGATGTTACTACTATAATTGTTTTAGGGCACTGTGAACCATGCCCATATAAGACAGCAAATTGATAAATGTTATGTGTGTTCTGACTATGCCACCAACCAACGGTTCTACTTCTGTCCCTCTCATTGGGCCTCCCTATTCCCTGAGACACAACAATATTAAATTCGACCAATTAATAACCCTAAAATGGCCTCTAAGTGTAGGAAGCCTTGTTGAAAGCCTAAAGGCCAAAACAAAAGCTAGGCCTCTTGCATCAGCGAGACAAGTTAGGAATGCAAAGCAAAAGTTCTTGAAGGAAATTAAAAGTCCTACTCCAGTTAACACACAAATGATAAGAAAGCAAAACAGCCTTACTGCTGATAGGGAGAAAGTTTTAGTGATTCAGATATATATAGAGAGAGTGAGAATATATAGAAGATAGATAGATAGATAATATATAGAGAGAAGATTAAATCAGTCACAACATTCCCTTAAGCCAAAGCCTAATCCAGAGTAAGGTACTAACTCTTTTCAACTCTCTGAAGGCTGAGAGAGGTGAAGAAGCTGCAGAAGAAAAATGGAAAGCTAGCAGAGGTTGGTTCATTAGGTAAGAGGAAAGAAGCCATCTCCATAACAGAAAAGTACCAAGTGACGCAGCAAGTGCTCATGGAGAAGCTGCAGCAAGTTATCTAGAAGATCTAGCTAAGATCATTAAACACTAAACAACAAATTTTCAATGTAGATGAAACAGGCTTCTGTTGGAAGAAGATGACATCTAGGACTTTCATAGCTAGAGAATAGAAGTCAATGCTTGGCTTCAGTGCTTCAGAGGGCAGGGTGACTCTCTTGTTAGGGGCTAATGCAGCTGATGACTTTAAGTTGAAGCCAATACTCATGTACCATTCTAAAAGTTCTAAGGTCCTTAAGAATGATGCTAAACTATTATTGCCTGTGCTTTATAAACGGAACAACATAGCCTGGATGACAACACATCTGTTTATAGCATGGTTTACTGAACGACTTAACCCCACTGTGGACACTCACTGCTCAGAAAAAGAAGATTCCTTTCAAAATATTATTGCTCATTGACAATACACATGGTCACCCAAAAGCTCTGAGGGGGATGTACAAGGAGATTCTTGTTTTCATGTCTGCTAATGCAACATTCATTCTGCAGCTCTTGGGTCAAGGAATAATTTCAACTTTCAAGTCTTATTATTTAAGAAATTCATTTCATAAGGCTATAATTGCCATAGATAGTGATTCTTCTGATGGATCTGAGCAAAGTAAATTGAAATCCTTCTGGAAAGGATTCAGCATTCTAGATGCCATTAAGAACATTCGTGATTTATGGGAAGAGGTCAAAATATCAACATTAACAGGAGATTGTAAGAAGTGGATTCCAATCCTCATGGATGACTTGGAAGAGTTTAAGACTTCAGTGGAGGAAGTCACTGCGGATGTAGTGGAAATAGCAGGAAAACTGGAATTAAAAGTAGAGGCTGAACATATGACTGAATTTCTGCAATCTCATGATAAAACTTGAAGGGATGAAGAGTTGCTGCTTATGGATGAGCAAAGAAAGTGGTTTCTTGAGATGGAGTCCACCCTGGTGAAGGTGCTGTGAACATTATTGAAATGACAACAAAGGATTTAAAATATTACATAAACTTAGTTGATGCAGCAGCAGCAGCAGGGTTTGAGAGTATTGACTCCAATTTTGAAAGAAGTTCTGTGGGTAAAATGTGGCAAACTTTATTGTTTAAGAAATTGCCACAGCCACCCCAAACTTCAGCCACCACCCTGATCAGTCAGCAGTCATCAACATTGAGGATCCTCTACCAGCAAAAAGATTACAACTCACTGAAGGCTCAGATGATCATTAGCATTTTTAGCAATAAATTATTTTTAATTAAGGTATGTACTTTTTTTAGACATGTTATTGCACACTTAATAGACTACAGTAATGTGAACATAACTTTTATAGGTACTGGGGAAACAGAAAATCTGTGTGACTCACTTTATTGTGATATTCACTTTATTATGGTAGTCTGAAACTGGACCTGCAACATCCCTGTGGTATGCCTGTAAGGAAGATCATATGCCATTTGTCTTTCTGTGCCTGGCCTATTCACTTAACATAATGCCCTCCATGTTCATGTTCATCCATGTTGTCACAAGTGGCAGAGTTTTCTTTTTTTTTCCTTTTTTTTTCTTTCTTTTTTTTTTTTTTAGACGGAGTCTCGCTGTATCACCCAGGATGGAGTGCAGTGGTGCAATCTTGGCTCACTGCAAACTCTGCCTCCCAGGTTCACGCCATTCTATCGCCCAGGATGGAGTGCAGTGGCGCGATCTCGGCTCACTGCAAACTCTGCCTCCCAGGTTCACGCCATTCTCCTGCCTCAGCCTCCCGAGTAGCTGGGACTATAGTCACCTGCCACTGCCCCTGGCTAATTTTTTGTATTTTTAGTAGAGACGGGGTTTCACCTTGTTAGCCAGGTGGTCTCGATCTCCTGACCTCGTGATCCACCCACCTCAGCCTCCCAAAGTGCTGGGATTACAGGCATGAGCCACCGCTCCCTGCCTCAGAGTTTTCTTTTTTAAAGCTGAATACTATTCTATATATATATACAGTATAGATTATATATATATGTATAAAATCTCACATTTGTGCATTCTAGTTATCTTTTAAAAATATATTTCTAATATTGCATTGTAAGGGAATGTTGGTATATCAGTCCTTTGCAATTTATTGAGGTTTTCTTTATAGCTTAGTCAGTTTTCAGAGTTAATATTTCACTAATTATTGTATTCAATATTCTATATATGTTCTATACATCTAAAAGTTAATTATGCTATTTAAATCTTTTTACTGACCTTTTTTTATCTGCTGAAGTTATCAATTACTAGGAGAGTTGTACTGCAGTTTCTCCCTCTGGTGATGGATTTGTCTATTTCTCTTAATTGCCATGTGTGATATAATAAGAAATATATATTTGGTCACTGCCCTCAGTTTCTGACACAGAGCTCCTAAAATGCTTGTAATTTCCTGAGTAATAGGGGTGCTTATTAACGCTATTTCTTTCCCCCTCTCTTCTTGCTGTCTCTTGTTTTTTTTTAAATTATTATTATTTTTATGATAAAAGATTGTTTTGTTTCAACAGCTTTAGGAGTACAAGTGGTATTTTTGGCTACATGGATGAGCTGTAGAGTGGTGAAGTCAGTCTGGATTTAGTGTAACTGTCACCTGAATAGTGTGCATTGTACTCAGCAGGTATTTTTTCATCCCTCACCCCCATCCCAACCTCCCCGCTTCTGAGTCTGTAGTATCCATTATACTACTCTGTCTGCCTTCGCATACCCATCTTGCTGTCTTTTGAATTGATAAGTCTTTCTTCCTCACTCCAAGTCCCCCCTACCTGTTTAGAGGTTGTTTGCTCTATGTCTGTCTGCTTCCTTAGTAGCTGCTCCTGCTATTTTAACAGGCATCCTTTAAAAAAAAAATCTCTATTTGAATATGCTCCAAAATTCAAAGACATATCTCTCTGGCTTTTCTATTTTTCCTCCACAAATTACACATTTTTCTTATAGTTTTAAACAATGTTTTTCTTTTCCCATCTGTTTATCAATATCTTCTCTCATTGTTACTTTCTTCCATTTCGAGGTTTTCATCTGCTATCGTTTTTTTTTTTTTCTTTCTTTCTGCAGTACGTACTTTAGAATTTCCTTTAGCGGGTCTTTCTCTCTTCTAATAGCAAACTCCGTAATAGACATCAGTGATAACAGAGATAAATAAGGCTCACTCCCATACAATATGTAATTGCAATGTAAACTAAGTACAAAATTAGAGGTTAGGACAAAGTGTTGAGAGCACAGAGAGGGGAGACTAACTCTAGAGAGTGAGGAGAGCGTCTCAGGAACAATAAGTGTACATTAAATTATGGAAGGCTATGAGTATATTCATGGAACATTCATCAGCTCAGTGGGCTGGAGCTTAGGCGCGGGTTGGTGCCAGATGGAGCTAGAGAGGTGAATTAGCTAGATGGTGGGCTGTGACGAGCCTTAAATGCCAAATTGAATGCAACAGGGAATTGGGGGAGGTTTTAGGCCGGGGACTGGCATGATTAGATGCATTATTTAGAGGTAAACTGTGTGACTGCATGGAGAGCCATGAGCTGCAATAGTCACCTGAGAGGAAGCTGAGTAACTAAAGCAAGGCAAAGCAAGGATAATGAAGAGAAGAAAAGAAATTTTAAAAGACATTCGTGCGGTAAAATCTTAACAGATTCAAAGTGTAGAGCACTGGAGGATGTACTCCAGGGACTCTAATTTGGAGGACCAGCAAGCTTGAAAGCACAGGAAGGAGTGCTCTTGTTTGGGAGTGGAGGGAGGGTGGCATTAGAGATGATGAGTTTAATGTGTAGCATAAAACGTTTTATGTGCTTCAGGACAAATGGTGCGTTGGTTTTAGAAGAATTAATATTTGAGATGTTAGGGGGGATATCTATGTGCTGAGAACTCTGCGACATTTTCTGATTATATTTGGCTGTTGTGGTCATTACTATTTTTCTTTTACTTTCTGAATTGGAATACAGATCTGGGTTTCAGGATGCAAAGTCTATTTTCTGCAATAAAGTGTAATTAAATAATAGTTGGGGTGCAGTTACATTTTAAGTCAGAAACTTGAAATGTAGTCCTGCCTTCACTGTGTTTTGCAAAATTATTGCTTCTGAGCACTGATTGCTCTTGACTGGTAGGACCTCTTGTTTTGTGTCTGTTTTTATCTTAGCACTGTTTTCAGGCTGACAAATGTAACCCAGATTGTCTAAGAGCATCTGTCAAGACAGGAGAGAAGGAAGACAGGGCAAGAGAAGAGGGGAGGGAAAAACATACTTCATTTAATTAGAAAAGTATTTGCAGGGCTTATGCTTCCTACCTGCTCTTTTTAGCTAGCAAGATCAGATTCTCCCCTGGAGATTGCTTCCTGGCCTGTAAGCCCAGACTAGGGCTTTCTTTTTGATGTGTGAGTCATCACAGTATTTCTGTGACTTATTATTTACTCACATGTAATAATTGCAGTGGGCACTACTGAGAATTGAGAGGAGCTTCTTCCCACCAGGGTGTGAAGTAGTTTTGACAGCAGGTGTGGTGTGTCAGCCTGAAACCTGAACAGGGCATCACCTTTTACCTGGTGCCATCACAGAGTGCTCCAGATTTGGGTAGGAAGAGGATCCCGTCACATCCAGGCATCTCTTGGCAGAGGAAAGGGAGCTGGTCAGGGAGTTTTGAAAACAAAAATTGTACTATAAAATGTTTTATTTGGGGAGCTGTGCTCTGGCAGCATCCTGATCTGAAATAATTCCTAGCCTTTTGTGTGGTTGGTGGTGGCTGATCCATGGAATCCTGCTGTGTCGCTCAGCTGCTGTTAAAATATTGGATCAAAGAAATGACTCAGGAGGAAAAGTGTCAAGTAAAAGTTAATCATTTCATCCTTGCTGAAAGATAGAATTTGAGTTGTTAAATTGCAGAATTAGTCCTGGAGTTTTTGTAGTTGTTGTTGTTGTTAGAAATTAGTTATGATAAGAAGTTGTATTCCTACATCTGCATAGAGACGGTGTTTATCACTAGCACCTGTCTCTGGTTGGCATCAGTAAGGCAGAAAGTGAGAAGTGGTGACATATGTGAACGCATGAACAATGCTAGGCATTGTACCTAAATTATCTCATTTAATCTATTGTGCAATAAAGGAAACTCAGAGATGCTCAGAGACTAAAGACGCCATCCGAAGTCACTGAGCAGGCACATGGCAACTACCGTTCAAACCCAGTGTAATTGTTGGCAAAATCTATACCACGCTGCCGTCAGTCATCTTTCAGTATGTTTTTCTAATTTGAAAGAGCAGATGAGGTTTCCATGATGAATTAGTTTCACCCAGGTGTTATCCCTTGATCGAAACACCATCCTGTCACGCCTGCCCCAGATTCCCAGCCTTCTATCCCCAGATGCTGTCTTCAAGTAACAAAGGAAGGAAAACATCTGAAGGGGCTCACTCCACGGTGCAGCAGCCAGCCCTACTTCATTCTTTGCTTTGAACTGTTTCTTGACTGCCTGTTAGACCATTTGTCAGATATGTTTTTAAACTATTACAGTTTCTGGCTATCCTTGTCACAAGGATAGATTACACAAGGTTCTCAGCAGCAAAGATGTCAGCTGTACAAATACAAGGATTTGGTCCTTGTTTTTCCTAGTGGTTTAAAATTGACTAAAGGCTACGGATGGGCCAAATGGGACAGCCAAGGATGGGACAGCTTGAGCTGTCAGGAAAGGAACATATAAAGGTTGTCTTGGGAGCAGGTCTCCTTGGTGCCCATCCAAAGTGGCTTCCTGCATTCTACAAAGCTTAGGGGAAAACAGCATTTAATTTACATGGAGTGTTCTGTCGTCTCCAAGAGAACTTAAAATCACTTGCTTGAACAAGCAGAATTTACAATAAGAGGGCTTGAGAACATGAATGGATAGCCTTTTGTTATGGAAACAAGTTGTGTTATACAGATTAAAATGTTAATAGTTTTGGATGGCAATTGGAACTGGAGCTTATATCTATTCATGGTTGTTTTCCCTGGGACTTGTAGATACCCAGCCAAAAGAGTAGAGTATTTTTAGCCAGGTTGTCACCCACAAAGAAAATAAAATGAAGATCTAGAACTAGGAATCCGGAGTTGAGAAAAAGAGGAACAGAAAGTGGGAGGATTGGTTACAAGCAATGACCATTTACAGAACAGGTGTGACTCATTCTCCAAGGTAGAGTTTATCACCTTACCCCACAAGGAATGACTTTCTGGAGAACCCATATTAGTCTCTTCCTTTATAAGACTTCACAGGAGAAAAAGGAGTGAAAAGGAAGAGAGACTATCAAACTTATCCAACCCAGGGCCTGTGGGCTGCATGCGGCGGCCCAGGACAGCTTTGAATGTGGCCCAACACAAATCCATAAACTTTCTTAAAACATTATGAGATTTTTTTGTGTGTGATTTTTTTTTTCTAAGCTCATCAGCTATTGTTAGTGTATTTTATGTGTGGCCCAAGATAATTTGTCTTCTTCGAGTGTGGCCCAGGGAAGTCAAAAGATTGGACATCCCTGCCAAAGGTTGAGGAAGTTCATGTATAACCGTGTATTCAGATAAGTTCTAACTTACCTGACCAATTTTTGTTTGTTAATTTTATGCCACCTTTTTGCAGTTAAGTGGATTTTGGCATAGTTGCAGGGGCCATTTGTACTAACCTCTGTTGATTTTTTTTTTTAATACTTTAAGTTCTGGGGTACATGTGTAGAATGTGCAGGTTTGTTACATAGGTATACACATGCCATGGTGGTTTGTGGCACCCATCAACCCGTGTTCATCTACATTAGATATTTGTCCTAATGCTCTCCCTCCCCTAGCTCCCCACCCCCCAACAGGCCCCTGTGTGTGATGTTCCCCTCCCTGTGTCCAAATGTTCTCATTGTTCAACTCCTACTTATGAGTGAGAACATGCAGTGTTTGGTTTTCTGTTCCTGTGTTAGTTTGCTGAGAATGATGGTTTCCAGCTTCATGTCCCTGCAAAGGACATGAACTCATCCTTTTTAATGGCTGCATAGTATTCCATGGTGTATATGTGCCACATTTTCTTTATCCAGTCTATCATTGATGGACATTTGGGTTGGTCTCAAGTCTTTGCTGTTGTGAATAGTGCTGCAATAAACATACATGTGCATGTGTCTTTATAGTAGAATGATTTATAATCCTTTGGATATATACCCAGTAATGGGATTGCTGGGTCAATCTATCTATCTGACAAAGGGATAATATCCAGAATCTACAAAGAACTTAAACAAATTTGCAAGAAAAAAACAACCTCTGTTGATTTTCTACTAACTTTTTAGAAACTCTTGTTCTTAAAGTGTTCAGAGGCCTTGTGTTTCTCATCTGTGTAATAAAGGAAGTGATATAGATGACCCATAGTGTATGATTTGTAACTCCAGAAAATAGTTATAAGTGAATTCAGTTATCATTTGATGTACTAGACACCCAATGACTAGGGGAAAATCAGCAAAGGATAGGTAGTTCTCTAGAGCCCTGTCTGGTCTTTCCTGTGTACGCACAGCTTTAAGCATTTGCCCAGCCTTGTATACCTTTAGAGATAAGGGGATCTTTAAAAGGCTGTCTTTAGTTCTTTCCTTCCCTGGATTTTCTTATTAAATTTCTGGCTGCTCTGCCATTTTGTGTTTGCTCGTTCCAACCAGTATCAAAACCTAGGCTAGCCTTGATGTTAGGCTGTCCTGATTGCTTGCCACTGTGACATCTCTTATTTCTGATAGTACCCTGGGCACTGTTTTCCATGCCCTGTTCCAAATATAGTCAGCCCCCTCCAGCAGGGCAGTGAGCTGCCAGCCCACATAGTCTTCCTCATCTGCTGAGGCTGGGGTAGGACTTTCAGGTAATGGAGCCTAAGGTGTGAGGGGGAAGAGGATAGGAGCAGTCTCTGGGGAAGATGTCACAGATTCCACTGTTGTTACTAAGATTCAGTAGGTGTTCTTTATAAATCCTTTTCAATTTGTTATATGCCATTGATCAGTTTTTAGAATCTTAATTTGGTTGTTTTTGACAACTGTGCCCACTTTTATCATTGCCCTTTGGGGAAAAGATTTGCCGAGCTCCTCATTAAGCCATTCCAGAAATCCCACCTCTTTTTCATATAATTTATAAGTTTTCTTTAAAACTTATTTTACAATTCTGACTTCAGATTAGTGCATAGACATTATAGTTGTAAACATCTTGAGTCTCTTCTATTATCTCCTACGAGCCCTGCAGGTGCAATTTACCATGACTTGGCCCTAAACCATATTGATTTAATGAACACAGTCAGCTATGTATATTCCTTGATGATCTGTTGGTAATTTGAAAGATCATATCAACAGACATTATCCTGAATGGTAGAGTTGTGAAGAATTGTGTCCTGTGAATTTTGCAATTCAGAGGACAGATTGATTAGAAAGAAGATATTCTGCTGGATAATATTTTACTTCAATAAATCTGGCAAATTTATAAGATCTTTTTTTGAGAAAAAGTCTAGGCAGGATACAGTTGTGGTAAAGAGTCTTTTAAAACCATCCTCACAAAACAGAAATTAAGTACCAAATTGGTTGCCGTGATCTCAAAGTAGTCATTTATTCCCTTCTATTTTCTGTACTCCATAAGAAGTCTTAAGCCTTAATCACATTTGAGTGATAGAAACATATCACAGTACCAGAAGACAGAAAATTAAAATGAAGTCTGGCTCTAAGAATGGGATAGAAACTAGTCATAATTCTAATCAAAAGTTATTTTATTTTCTAATTTTTAATAATTATATATTGTGATTTAAAAAATTTTAAAATATGTGCACATGCCCCTCTCCTTCAAATTTTATGTGTGCCAAGCATGGGCTCCATTTTGGCAGTGAAATGGCTGTGCATGCCACAGTAGACTAGGGGAGAGGTACTGACTATAGAGGTTCACTCCAAAAGGATCCGGCCTACCAAATCATAGTAATGTTGCTCATATCTTTTGTGAATCTAAATTATTAAAATAAAGGTTAAAATCATACCATTTAAGGGGTAAAGTTAATACTCAGGAGATCTTGAGGCCAAATAGTCTCATTTCTTTTGGGCACAGATCTCTCTAATGGTTAGGTTGTTTCCAGAGCTATGGTGCCAGCAGGGCCATTGTGGTTGAAGCAGGCCCACAGCTGATGCCTTGGATACTGAGAGCAAGGTTCATTTCCAGGTCAGTGAAGCTTGCTGAGAGCCAGAGATAAAGGATGAGGACCTGAACTATAGGGCTGTACTAGAACTCATTTAGGAACATAGACATAAACCTCATTCACAGGGATGGGGCAAGTGTGGCAGGACTGGCAAAAGAAAACTGCAAGGAGATAAGCAGGTGGTATGCAGGAGTCCACTTCAGTCACCTTAGATATACCTGGGCAAGAGCAGAAAAAGTAACCTCAGACGCTACCTGTCCATGGGATGGGCTGTATTAATATTCAGATAAGTAAGGTGGGATGAGCCTGCTGGTAAAAGGCTTTCAGAGCATGTAACTGGATGAAGTGTAAGCCAGGGACTGACCTGTGTGGTCTACCCTTTGCCAAGGAGATGTCATTGTCTCTATTCATAATGACAATTGAACAGTCCCTGCTGCTGGCACAAATACCACAAGGCCCAAACAATATAAAACAAAATATATCCACTTTTATCTTCATGGTTATCATTATTGCTATTAATAAAAAGAAAGGACCTTGGGTTAGTGGACATGACCCTGGAATGGAAGTTGAAACTTAGTGCTTGGCCCATTAAGACATTACAGAAAAAAATCATGTAATTGGAATGAATCTCATTTTCCCACTGTCCTTGGTATTATTGGACAGGATTTCTCAACCCTAATACAATGAACATTTTGGACCAGACAATTCTTTGTTATGGGGAGAAGAGGGGCAGGCTGTCTTGTGTGTTGAGTATTTAGGAAGGTCTCTAGTCTCAACCCACCAGATCTCAGTAGCACTCCCCTTCCCCATCATGACAACCAAAAATGTCTCCAGACATTGTCATATATATTCTGGGGGGCAAAATTGTCCCCAGTTAAGAACGGCTGCTGAAAAGATACAAAATAAGCTTGTGTAAGATATGACTTTGTCCTTAAGGAATTCACAAACCTGTTAGGTGAACACACCTAATATAATATAATCCATGTACATGGATAATGTGGTAAAAGTTAAATTTGGAACAGTGAATTTCTCAACTTACACATAAAAAGAGTTAAAAGCAGAATATGAGACTAGCTACGGACAGGAAGGGTGCTGAGGAGCCAGGGATAGAAACAGCATTTGAGGATGGACAGCATTCAGCATATTTAGGGGAGATGAGGAGAGCAGCTCAGCTGGAGGAACAAGAGCAAGTATGTTTGTCAAGGTCCGTGAGAACATTACCTGCTCAGGGTGGATGTGTGTGCTGGGAAGTAGAGGCAGGAGGCTGCACCAGGCTGCTGCTATCCTGGAGCACGGTTTCACACTCCACACTCCACATGTCCCTGCTCCCTAAAACATCACATCCCAGGCATAAAGTTCGTTCTAGAAATCAGGCCTTACAAGTATTAGTGATTCTACTTTTCTCCTCTCCCCATGTGATTAAGTGTGATAATAAAACACCTGCTAATACTTTAACTCACAATCTGTGCCCCCTCATTAGGGATTCTACTTGATAAGGCTGTTAGTGTAGTATAATTATAACTAACACTTATTAAGTTCTCACTATGTTCCAAACAGTGTTCTAAATGCTTTACATGTCTCAATTATTTTCCCAACAGCCCTAGTTGTAGTATGTTGTCATTTTCTCAGTTTTCAGAATGAGGAAACTGAGGTGTGAAGAGGTTATATCTTGAATATGCCCAAGATTATGCACCTAATAAGTGGCATAAACAGCATTTGAATCCAGATGGTCTGGCTCCAGTGTACTTTTAACCCATATTATACCCCTTCTCTATCCATGCTGATAAAATTGTGTATGTGACATAGATAGCAAAAAAACTACATAGAAAAAAGAAACAAGTGTATGGTGCTGAAGGAATTACTGGTTCATACCCAGAGCTCTGGCCTCTGAAAAATCCAAAACTGTCCTTGAGGCATGGGCTTATCTGCAGGGAGTTTACATTCCAGGGGTGAATTGAAAGGAAGCTCTGGGTTTGGAATTAATATCACATAAATTACTTAGATATATTCAGTATTAGGAATATTGGTGTACCTAATCTGAATCTTTTAAAATGGGAATGCTTAGATCTGACTTATTTCCAGATTTCATAGATTAATGTATTCAATTCATATTCCCCAGGATATTAAAGTACAGTGCATTCATCTGGAGCTGTTTAAAAAAGAAAAAAAAAAAGAGTGCTTTATGTTTGTATAGGTCATTTTCAATTGCATCATTTAATTTTATCATAACAGCTCCAGAAGCAAAACTGCTTATGAAGCATAAGAGTTTGCATTAATCTTTTCATTCCTTTGCCTTTTATTATTGCCTTGTATGGCGAAAAGATGTCATAATTCTGTTTTACAGATGAGGAAACAGGTACAGAGAGATGAAGCCAATTACCCAAGAAGGCAGAAACAGATTTAGGTGTGTAATTCTCCTAAGCCCCCTGGGTAGATTCTAAATCTGCTGCACTGAAATGGGCTGCAGGGGAGGCCAGACAGCCAATATGGTTTCCTTCGTACACAAAGACTCCATGCTCAGCCTTGACCACGCTGGTGTCTCGCCAGCCCCAGCACATGCCCTTCTCTGCCTTCACTCATTCTACTTCCCTGACCTGCATTGCTTCCTCTCTTCTCTGATACTCTAAGTTACGAACATTCTACAAGGGAAAGGAAGGCTCACTTTTATTTTATTTTATTTTATTTTATTTTATTTTATTTTATTTTATTTTATTTTATTTTATTTTGCTTTGCTTTAAATTCTGGGGTACATGTGCAGAACGTGCAGCTTTGTTACATAGGTATACACATGCCATGGTGGTTTGCTGTACCCATCAACCTGTCATCTATATTAGGTATTTCTCCTAATGCTGTCTCTCCCCTAGCCGCCCACACCCTGACAGGCCCTGGTGTGTGATGTTCCCCTCCCTGTGTCCATGTGTTCTCGCTATTCAACTTCCACTTATGAGTGAGAACATGCGGTGTTTGGTTTTCTGTTCCTGTGTTAGTTTGCTGAGAATGATGGTTTCTAGCTTCATCCATGTCCCTGCAAAGGACATGAACTCATCCTTTTTAATGGTTGCATAGTATTCCATGGTGTATATGTGCCACATTTTCTTTATCCAGTCTATCATTGAGGGGCATTTGGGTTGGTTCCAAGTCTTTGCTATTGTGAATAGTGCTGCAATAAACATACGTGTGCATGTGTCTTTATAGTAGAATGATTTATAATCCTTTGGGTATATATCCAGTAATGGGATTACTGGGTCAAGTGGTATTTCTAGTTCTAGATCCTTGAGGAATTGTCATACTGTCTTCCACAATAGTTGAACTAATTTACAGTCCTACCAACAGTGTAAAAGTGTTCCTATTTCTCCACATCCTCTCCAGCATCTGTTGTTTCCTTTTTAATGATCGCCATTCTAACTGGTGTAAGATGGTATCTCATTGTGCTTTTGATTTGCATTTCCCTAATGACCAGTGATGATGAGCTTTTTTTCATATTTGTTGGCTGCATAAATGTCTTCTTTTAGAAGTGTCTGTTCATGTCCTTCGCCCACTTTTTGATGGGGTTGTTTGTTTTTTTCCTGTAAATTTGTTTAAGTTCCTTGTAGATTCTGAATATTAGCCCTTTGTCAGATGGATAGATTGCAAAAATTTTCTCCCATTCTGTAGGTTGCCTGTTCACTCTGATAGTTTCTTTTGCTATGCAGAAGCTCTTTAGTTTAATTAGATCCCATTTGTCAATGTTGGCTTTTGTTGCCATTGCTTTTGGTGTTTTAGTCACAAAGTCTTTGCCCATGCCTATGTCCTGAATGGTATTGCCTAGGTTTTCTTATAGGGTTTTTATGGTTTTAGGTCTTTCATTTAAGTCTTTAATCAATCTTGAATTAATTTTTCTATAAGATGTAAAGAAGGGGTCCAGTTTTAGTTTTCTGCATATGACTAGCCAGTTTTCCCAATACCTGTTATTAAATAGGAAATCCTTTCCCCATTTCTTGTTTTTGTCAGGTTTGTCAAAGATCAGATGGTTGTAGATGTGTGGTGTTATTTCTGAGGCCTCTGTTTTGTTCCATTGGTCTGTATATCTGTTTTGGGCCAGTAACATGCTGTTTTGGTTACTGTAGCCTTGTAGTGTAGTTTGAAGTCAGGTAGCATGATGCCTCCAGCTTTATTGTTTTTGCTTAGGATTATCTTGGCTATACAGGCTCTTTTTTGGTTCCGTATGGAATTTAAAGTAGTTTTTTTTCTAATTCTGTGAAGAAAGTCAATGGAAGCTTGATGGGGATAGCATTGAATCTATAAATTACTTTGGGCAGCGTGGCCATTTTCACGATATTGATTCTTCCTAACCATGAGCATAGAATGTTTTTCCATTTGTTTGTGTCTGCTCTTATTTCGTTGAGCAGTGGTTTGTAGTTCTCCTTGAAGAGGTCCTTCACATCCCTTGTAAGTTGTATTCCTAGGTATTTTATTCTCTTTGTAGCAATTGTGAATAAGAGTTCACTCATGATTTGGCTCTCTGTTTGTCTGTTATTGGTGTATAGGAATGCTTGTGATTTTTGCACACTGATTTTGTACCTTGAGACTTTGCTGAAGTTGCTTATCAGCTTGAGGAGATTTTGGGCTGAGACGATGGGGTTTTCTAAATAGACAATCATGTCATCTGCAAACAGAGACAGTTTGACTTCCTCTCTTCCTATTTGAATACGCTTTATTTCTTTCTCTTGCCTGATTGTCCTGGCCAGAACTTCCAATACTATGTTGAATAGGAGTGGTGAGAGAGGGCATCCTTGTCTTGTGCCGGTTTTCAAAGGGAATGCTTCCAACTTTGGCCCATTCAGTATGATACTGGCTGTGGGTTTGTCATAAATAGCTCTTATTGTTTTGAGATACATTCCATCAATACCTAGTTTATTGAGAGTTTTTAGCATGAAGCGATGTTGAGTTTTATTGAAGGCATTTTCTGCATCTATTGAGATAATCGTGGTTTTTGTCATTGGTTCTGTTTATGTGATGGATTACATTGATTGATTTATGTATGTTGAACCAGCCTTGCATCCCTGGGATGAAGCTGACTTGACTGTGGTGGATAAACTATTTGATGTACTGCTGGATTAGATTTGCCAGTATTTTATTGAGGATTTTCACATCAATGTTCATCAGGGGTATTGGCCTGATGTTTTCTTTTTTTGTAGTGTTTCCGACAGGTTTTGGTATCAGGATGATGCTGGACTCTTAAAATGAGTTAGGGAGGAGTCCCTCTTTTTCTATTGTTTGAAATAGTTTCAGAAGGAACGGAAGCAGCTCCTCTTTGTACCTCTGGTAGAATTCAGCTGTGAATCTGTCTGGTCATGGGCTTTTTTTAGTTGGTAGGCTATTAATTACTGCCTCAATTTTAGAACTTGTTATTGGTCTATTCAGGGATTCGACTTCTTCCTGGTTTAGTCTTGGGATGGTGTATGTGTCCAGGAATTTATCAAATTCTTCTAGATTTTCTAGTTTATTTGCATAGAGGTGTTTATAGTATTTTCTGATGGTAGTTTGTATTTCTGTGGGATCAGTGTTGATATCCCTTTTATCATTTTTTATTGTGTCTATTTGATTCTTCTCTCTTCTCTTCTTTATTAATCTGGCTAGTGGTCTATTTTATTAATCTTTTGAAAAAACCAGCTCCTGGATTCATTGATTTTTTGAAGGCTTTTTCATGTCTCTCTGTCCTTCAGTTCTGCTCTGATCTTAGTTATTTCTTGTCTTCTGCTAGCATTTGAATTCGTTTGCTCTTGCTTCTCTAGTTCTTTTAATTGTGATATTAGGGTGTCGATTGTAGATCTTTCCTGCTTTCTCCTGTGGGCATTTAGTACTATACATTTCCCTCTAAACACTGCTTTAGCTGTGTCCCAGAGATTCTGTTACGTTGTGTCTTTGTTCTCATAGGTTTCAAAGAACTTATTTATTTCTGCCTTAATTTTGTTATTTACTCAGTAGTCATTCAGGAGCAGGTTTTCAGTTTCCATGTAGTTGTGTGGGTGTGAGTGAGTTTCTTAATCCTGAGTTCTAATTTGATTCCACTGTGGTCTGAGAGACTGTTTGTTATGATTTTCGTTATTTTGCGTTTGCTTATGTGTTCCCTTTTCTTTGAAACTTCTCCAACATCTGTTCTTTTTTGACTTTTTAACAAAAGCCATTCTGACTGGTGTGAGATGGTATCTCTTTGTGGTTTTGATTTGCATTTCTCTAATGATTAGTAATGTTGAGCATTTGTCCATATACTTGTTGGCCACATACATGTTTTCTTTTGAAAAATGTCTGTTCATGTCCTTTGCCCACTTTTTAATGGGGTTGTTTGTTTTTTGCTTGTAGTAAAAATATTGGCAACTTTCTTAACCCTCTTGAGCCTCAGGTTTCCCACCTGTAAAACGTAGTCAGTACAACCTACTACCTATTGCTGAGAAGATTTTTTTATTTAAAGAATCTCAATGACCACATCAGTATTTTCCCCTCTCAGTCTGGCCTAAGACATACCTGCTTTGAGAAATCTTTTCTTTGCTTGAAATCCTTGTCTGATTAAAAACTCCTCTGAATGCTGTGATAAATCCTATGGTGCTGGATTAAAGTTAGAAATATCAGTATGAACTCCTGTTTATTTTAATGCATATTTGGATAGCTAGCTACAGAAATACAGAAATCTTTGTCTGATTAAAAACCCTCCTCTGAATGCCGTGATAAATCCTATGGTGCTGGATTAAAGTTAGAAATATCAGTATGAACTCCTGTTATTTTAATGCATATTTGGATAGCTAGCTACAGAAAAACAGATATCTCTGTATACCTGCATTAATATACATACAAATATTTTCCAGCTGTATCCATGAAGAGCAATGAACATTCCTAGTACCCAGATTTTGGTTTCTGAATATCATTTTCTGATAAAATAGCCCAGGGCTCCTTGGAGAAATGGCTGATTCTAAGACTGGGAGAGGAAAATACAAGAGGAACTGAGAGCATCTTTTGGTGCCAGAAAGTAAGAAAATGCTCAAGATTTTAAAAGTACACTAAAAGGACACAGAAGCCAATCTGAAAGAACATCTAATGGCCAAAGCTAGGCAAATATAATAGCTACTTTTCTTGGGGAAGTTGGAAAATGTACAGGATAACTGAGGAGCCAGAGAGTCTGGTTTTGTTGTGGTAGTATTGCACTTTCATTTCTAGGAGCATTAATTAATAATAAAAAAAAATCTTCCATGAGGATATGGACTGCTTACATCATATCATTATGCTTTCATTTAGGTGATGCTAACACTGGAAAAAGTCCAAGATTTCACTGAAAAGTCTTCCATGTGTTCAGAATATAAATCCTATTAACAGGACTTCATCATGATACTTCTTAAATTACGTTCTTGATAGCAGTCATTCAAGAGAGTCTCTCAGCTTTTAAATGTGCCAGTAAGGTTTAAAAAAAAAATCCAAACATTGGTCAGGTATGGTGGCTCATGTCTGTAATCCCAACACTTTGGGAGGCTGAGGTGGGAGGATCACTTGAGCCCAGGAGTTTGTGACCAGCCTAGGCAGCATAGTGAGACCCCATCTCTACAAAAAATAAATAAAATCAGCCAGGCATGGTGATGCATGCCTGTGGTCCCAGCTACTCAGGAGGCTGAGGTCAGGGGATCACTTGACCCTGGGAGGCTGAGGCTGCAGTGAGCCAAAATTATGCCACTGCACTCCAGCCTGGGTGACAGAGGGAGACCCTGTCTCAAACAAAACAAAACAAAAACAACAAGAAAACACAAATATTTAACCTAGCTTATATAATAAGAGAAGAAAACACCTACATCAGTCAAGCTGGACTTCACTACCTGATATTGCTCCATAAAAGAATGACCAATAGGAGCTTAGGTTTTAGGCCTTACTCAGTTGACTCAGCACCCCACAGGCCCTCAGATGAAACAGTTCACCTTTCCTGTCTCCCCCAACCAGCTTTCCTGAAAAATAATTGACAAATAAAAAATGTATATATTTAAGGTATACACTGTCACGTTTCAAAATGTGAATACATTGTGAAGTGATTACCAAATCAAGCAAATTAACATCCATCACCTCATATGCTCACCTTTTCTTTGATGTATGGTGAGAACACTAAAGATCTCTTAGCAAATTTTAAGTATACAATACATTATAATTAACTATAGTTACTATGCTGTATATTTGATCACCAGAACCCATCTTATAACTGAAAGTTTGTATCCTTTGATCCAAATCCCCACATTTTTCCCAGCCACTGACAACCACCACTCTACTCTGTTTCTATGAGTTCAACTGCTTTAGACTCCACATGTAAGTGAGATCATACAGTATTTTTCTTTCTGCACTGGCTTATTTCACTTAACATAACATCCTCTAGGTTCATCTATGTTTCAGCGAATGGCAGAATTTTCTTCTTTTTAAAGGCTGAATAGTATTCCCTCAGGTATATGTACCAGATACACATACATAAGGGAATATATATATGTCTCAGGTACATATACATAAGGGAATACTATTTTTTACTCATTCATGTATGTGTACCAGATACATATACATAAGGGAATATATATATATATGTCTGGTACATATACATAAAGGAATGCTATTTTTTACTCATTCATCTCTCAGTGGACACTTAGGTTGTTTTCATATCTTGGCTATTATGAATAGTGCTGCAATAAATATGGGAGTGCACATATCTCTTTGACATACTGATTTCAGTTCTTTTGGATATATACCCAGAAGTAGGAGTGCAGGATCATATGGCAGCTCTATTAGTTTTTTGAGGGAATATCCATACTGTTTTCCACAGTGGTTATACCAATTTACAATCCCAGCAAGAGTGTACAAGGGTTCCCTTTTCTCTACACCTTCACCATCACTTGTTATCTTTTGACTTTTTGATAACAGCCTTTCTAATAGATATGAAGTGATATTTCATTATGGTTTTGATTTGCATTTCTATGATGATTAGTGATGTTGAGTACCTTTTCACATACTTTTGGACATTTCTTTGTCTTCCTTGGAAAAATACCTCCTCAGGTCCTTTGCCCATTTAAAAAAATCAGGTTATTTGGTTTTTTTTTTTTTTTTGCAATTGAGTTGTTTGAATTTCTTATATATTTCGGATATTAGCCACCTATTAGATATATGATATCAGATATAATAGCAAATATTTTCTCCCATTCTCTAAGTTGCCTTTCCATTTGTTGATTGTTTCCCTTCCTGTGCAGAAGCCTTTTAGTTTGATGTAGCCCCACTTGATATTTTTCTTTTGTTGCCTGTGCTTTTGAAGTCATAGTCATAAACTTGTAGTTAAACTTTTTTTAACCTGTATTCATCTACTTGAATAGTAAGAATAATTAGAGAATTAGAGCGTGTGAGCCCCCAGACCAAGAACATGATGGATAGCTTAGCTTTAAAAAAAGCCATTCTGTGGTTATAAAATATCTATAGAAGTTTCTAAACTGAGGTGAGATCAGAGACATGATGAGAGAAGTAGTCTGATGGCGCAGTGAACATCGATCCAATAAGTACAAGATGGCAGGAAGACTAGGCCACAGTCAAGAAGACTCCCACCTTCCTTTCCAAATACCTTTAATGCCTCCCCCATACTTTTAAGGAAACTCAGACACCTTCATTTGGCTTATACAACATTTCCTGGTCAGTCCCCAGTTTACCTCCTTTGAGCTCATTATCCCAATGTAAGTATATGAGTAATGAGTTTCCATTTCTTTCTCTTGCCATGCCTTTCTTTTCGTGGCCTGTGTACCTGCTACCCCCTCTTCCAAGAACCCTTTTTTATTCCTTTAGCTCTCCTGTTTCACCACCATTTTTTCCAGGATATCTTTTATGAACCCTGTCTGGGTAAGGGGACCTTGCTAGGTGCTCCTTTAGCATTGATCCTCTCCTGACATTGGCACTTGACATGCTGCATTGTATTTGGCTGTTAATTTTCTGTTGCCCCCTTAGGACTGTAATCCTGAGGGAAGGGAACATGTTTGTTTTGTTGTATCCCTAGCCCCTAACCCAGTTTATGGCACCAAGATGCCCAACAAATAACTTGTCGAATGAGTGGACAAAGTAATGAATGAATGAACAATTGAGCAATATTAAATATGAGCTAGCTTACTGAGAAGACTTTCCGAAGTCCACTCCAGAGATCTTTAATGGGAAAACCATCATAGAAATCAAATACAAGTCACCTTTGCTATGAAGCATAAATTTTCTTTGTAGAGCCATTTTATCTCTTACATTCTGAGAAGCCCTCTGAACAGTAAGAAGAAGACTCTTCTTCTTAGAAGAGGAGGAACTCGAGGGGAAAATCATTGACATTAAACTAGGATTTTAATGCTAGAAATAAATAATAGTAACAAAGAGCCTATTGTAACAAACCAGGCTTAATGGTTTATAACCTAATTTAATGAAGTATTTCATTGACAGATCTTACTTTCTTTTGTGTTTATATTCAAATAGCAATAGAACCATTATATAGAGTTTCTAAATATTTTAATTGTAGATTGTCATTAAATTTGTGGTATCTTGTCACTTTAAATTAAGTAGAGGTTTATTTGTTAAACATTTCACAGCACCTCCGTATCCTGAGTGCCTCACACTTCAGTTGTCTCTTTCTATGGCAGAATAGAAGAGAGCCGAGTAAGAGAATGGAGAGTTGAATGTCATGGTTGATGCCAACCAGAGTAGACCATATGCTACTGTATGCATCTACAGCTGACCTGCACAAATCGGGTGATGACGTATTTATTTGTCTGAGACTTCCGTTGACCAAAACAGCATCTGACTCAACTCCATGAATGAGCTTCATCAGTTGAGTGCTTCCAAAATGCCAGTAGAACATTCACTTTAATCAGAATCTCAAGTCATACTTTAGATACAAGGGACAGAAGAAGGTATTTAACTCTTCATTCACAGTGCCTTTGAAGAATGGCATTGGTTGCTAAGGAACAGCAATAGCATATTCTTGTGCAAACAATTGGTCTGCTGGGAATTCACGTTACTGTTTCAACAGGCTCTCTTAGAAGGAGGCAATATCTGTTTCTTTGTTTGCTAGTGTAATGGCAACGTATGCTGACTTCACTTCATCTATTTTGTTCAAGAAGTATCTCAGTTGAACCTTCATAAGGGCAGAAGAGAAGCTAGATGGCACACTGCTCTCTGTTGTATAGTGATTTGATTTTGGAAAGAAAGAATAAAAACAGGAAATCCGTCTTTATAGTTGTTTTAGAAATTGTCGTCATCTATTTGGGTTATGCCTTTGTCACATGACCCCTGTATATCTCCCCTGGGTTACCAGGGTCATGATTTCTGTTTCACAGATAAGGCAATTCAAAGGCTTACTTTGAATGGAGGAATGAGAATATAACTCTTAGAGCCTGGAGAACATGCAAACTTGCTGGAATTTCCAGACCCCTATTACCTGGAAAAACATGTTTAAGCTGCTTTCTGAAATGCCCTTATCTAAGCCTTTTAAAAGAGAACCAATTTAAATTTTTTCACTTTAAAGTGCATTGGAACACAACAAGCATTTCTGCCAGCTCTTAAAATTCATTCAGTGTAGCAATTAAGGGCGACTTAATTAAAAAACAACTGACAATATCATTAAGCTGGTGAGCAAAATAGAGCTAATTTCAGGCTAGAGTCCTACCTCTAGGCTGCAAAGAGCTTTGATTCAATGTTTGGGCCTGTTTCATTTTGTACTCAGGCCAAGATTTAACAGTCATGAGGGTTGGTTGTGTTCTCTGTGCTTAAATAGATGGATTTTCAGAGGAAATGAACACTAACCAAAGAAAATCAAATTTGATTTGTGCAGAATCAAGTAGACCATTGTGTCAAACACCATTCTAAATAAAACATTCCTCCTATACATAAAATTACATGAGGCTAACAGTCAGGAAACTCAGATTTCATCTTGGGTCCCTCATAAATTGTTCGATTCCAGACAAATGCCTTAAATTTCTTTGGAGCAGATAGACTCCAAAGTCCCTTCCAGCCCTAAAATTTCATTATATGTTAATATCTGAGTTCAGTTGGCTCAAGTGGAAGCATTTGGCAAAATTCAAATGAAAGTAATACCTACAACATTTAGTGAGTGCTTACTATGTATTAGACATTTTCTGTGTTTTATGCATTCTCATTTAATCCCCACAACATCCCTATGAAATAAGTACTGTTATTATCCCACTTTTACAGTGAGGAAAGTGAGAAATTAAGTAGCATGCCCAGGTGAGTTTTAGTCTGTGGTTAGATTAAGACAGATCAGACAAGCTATCAGGAAACTGGTTTCACCATTATCACTTCTCCTTTTTATTCAGACTCTGGTGCTAATTAAGCACTTGGCTTTTGATCCTTCCAATCTTGCCCTGTGCAGGAGCACTACATTCATTCCAGGGTTTTCAGAAAAAATCTGCCTTTGGGGAAATTATGGAAATGACTTAATGATGGAAAAATGACTTTTAGTGAATTCACAAAGAGGAACTTTCAGTGTCAAAACAAAGGCAAACCGAAGTCTGCAAATGGGCAATGGTTGTATATAGTAAGAATGATGTGTTGTCTGTAGTGTGTGACGTGATTTGATGTGATGGAAAAGGGAAGCACATATATATATAGTCACACTTTGCAGGCACTTTACACACACCATGTATTTACAAATACAAAACTTTGTATTTGTAAATGAAGGTGGTATATGGAGGACATCTCCAAATGGAGTAGTCTTAAGTTCTCCAAAACAATAAATTAGTAGACTTTTTTTTTCGTTTTTTAAAAAAAAATTTTCATGTGTTTTTTGGCTGCATAAATGTCTTCTTTTGAGAAGTGTCTGTTCATATCCATCGCCCACTTTTTGATGGGGTTGTTTGTTTTTTTCTTGTAAATTTGTTTGAGTTCATTGTAGATTCTGGGTATTAGCCCTTTGTCAGATGAGTAGGTTGCAAAAATTTTCTCCCATTCTGTAGGTTGCCTGTTCACTCTGATGGTGGTTTCTTTTGCTGTGCAGAAGCTCTTTAGTTTAATTAGATCCCATTTGTCAATTTTGGCTTTTGTTGCCATTGCTTTTGGTGTTTTAGACATGAAGTCCTTGCCCATGCCTATGTCCTGAATGGTATTGCCTAGGTTTTCTTCTAGGGTTTTTATGGTTTTAGGTCTAACATGTAAGTCTTTAATCCATCTTGAATTAACCCAAATGTCCAACAACGATAGACTGGATTAAGAAAATGTGGCACATATACACCATGGAATACTATGCAGCCATAAAAAATGATGAGTTTATGTCCTTTGTAGGGACATGGATGAAGCTGGAAACCATCATTCTCAGCAAACTATCGCAAGGACAAAAAACCAAACACCGCATGTTCTCACTCATAGGTGGGAATTGAACAATGAGAACACATGGACACAGGAAGGGGAACATCACACACTGGGGACTGTTGTGGGGTGGGGGGACGGGGAAGGGATAGTATTAGGAGATATACCTAATGCTAAATGAAGAGTTAATGGGTGTAGCACACCAACATGGCACATGTATACACATGTAACAAACCTGCACGTTGTGTACATGTACTGTAAAACTTAAAGTATAATAATAATTAAAAAAAATTATTTTAACTTTCATTTTAGGTTTGGAGGTACATGTGCAGGTTTGTTATATAAGTAAACTCATGACTAGGAGGTTCAGTATAGACACTATTTCATCACCTGGGTACTTTTTTCCTGAACCTCTCCCCACTTCCACTTTCCTCTCAAGTAGTCCCCAGTGTCTGTTGTTCCCCTCTTTGTGTCCGTGTGTTCTTATTATTTAGCTCCTATTTATAAGTGAGAACATGTGGTATTTGGTTTTCTGATCTTGCATTCGTTTGGTAAGGATAATGGCCTCCAGTTCCATCTGTGTTCCTGGAAAAGAAGTGATCTCATTCTTTTCTATGGCTGCATAGTATTCCATGGTGTGTATATATACCACATTTCCTTTATCCAGCCTATTGTTGTTGGCTATCTAGGTTGATTCCATGTCTTTGCTATTGTGAGTAGTGCTGCAATAAACATAATGTGTGCATGTGTTTTTAAGGTAGAATGATTTATATTCTTCTGGGTATATACCCAGTAGTGGGATTGCTGGGTCGAATGGTAGTTCTGTTTTTAGTTTTTTGAGGAATTACCACATCCACAGTGGCTGAACTAATTTACACTCCCACCAGCAGAGTACAAGTGTTTCCTTTTCTTGGCAGCCTCACCAGCATCTGTTATTGTTTGAGTTTTTAATAATAGCCATTCTGACTGATATGAGATGGTATCTCATTTTGATTTTGATTTGCATTTCTCTAATGATCAGTGATATTGAGCATTTCTTCATATGCTTTTTGGCCACATGTATATCTTCTTTTGAAAAGGGCCTGTTCATATCCTTTGCCTGCTTTTCAATGGGTTTGTTTTTTGCTTGTACATTTGTTTCAGTAGATTCTGGATATTAGACCTTTGTCAGATGTATAGTTTGCAGATATTTTCTCCCGTTCTGTGGGTTGTCTGTTTATTCTGTTGATGGTTTCTTTTGCTGTGCAAAAGCTCTTCAGTTTAATTAGGTCCCATTTATCAATTTTTGCTGAAATTGCTTTTGGCATTTTTGTTATGAAATTTTTGCCAGATTCTATATCCAAAATATTATTTCCTAGGTAATCTTACAGAGTTTTTATAGCTTTAGGTTTCACATTTAGGTCTTTAATCCATCTTGAGTTTATTTTTGTATAATACGTAAGGTGAGGGTCCAGTTTCAATCTTGTTTTTATTTTTTCTTTTATTTATTTATTTATTTATTTATTCTTTTTGGTAGGGATAAGGTTTTGCTATGTTGCCCAGGCCTACACTTAATTTTTCTAGTTAACTTCTTTCTCCTGAGATACTCAAAGTACAGGCTTGGTGTTCAGAAAATAGTGATTCTGTAGGTGTTTTACAAATCAACTAAGACAACCTTACAAATATTTGCCTTTTATGTCTCTGCAGTAGCTGAGATACTGTGGCGAATGCAAGGAACTATGTGACAATATATCTTCAGGAAGCACAGAATTTAGAGATACCGTACATGTATAGTATATAGGAAGAGATGAGTAGCATCAGATAACATTTAATGAATAGTACAAATAACAAGTTAGAATGTACTTCAAACTATGAGAGCAAAGATTTGTACCACAATAGCCTTTTAACTGGAATATTATAATATGGAATTCCAAAAGCTGTTTGACTTACTATTTATGTGATTTAAGCAAGTCACTTAATCTCTCTGAGGCTTGGCTATTTTTGTTTGTAAAATGGGATGCAGATAGAACCCAAACTACAAGGGTGGAGTAGAAATCGAATGAGATAACAGATGAGAAAGAACAATGCAGGATTCTTATATAAGATTGTCATTTGTGATGTACAAAAATGTCCACCTCTGTGCCTTTTAAGCGTGTGGCAGAACTGTACTGCCTTGCCTCCTTTGCAGTTAGGTATGGCCATGTGTCTTACTCTGGCCAATGAAATGTGGGCCCAAGTGGATATATGCCACTTCTAGGTGGAAGCTTTTAAGAGCCTGTGTGTGAATCATTGTTTTCCCCTTTTTTTCTCTGCCACTGGGATTGTGGAAGCCATGTGAAGCCTTAATTCACCGGGGGTCCCTTGAGTGCCTATGATGAGCAAAGCCCCCAGCTACCTGATGTTAAGTATAAAACATGAACAAGAAATTAATTTCTGTCATTTAAAGTAATGAGATATTGGGGTTGTTACTGCAACATAATTTCCTGGAACAGTCTGGCTAGAATGTTTACCAATCATTCTTAATATTACTTGAGTACCTGGATATCCAGGTTTTAGATATGTTATACATGTATGTGTCTGCTGCATGTTAGATTTGTTAATATCTTTGCTACCGTTTTTAACTTCAGTTTTCCAAAAAAGATGTTGGCCTCAACCCAGTCATGTCTTTTTCTCTTCTTTTCTGTTAAGTATTTAAGGTATCTACAGACCAGGACTAGAACTGGGCTTTTCTGTCTACTTCTATTTTTCAAAAGTTTAATTGGAGGGAAAAGTTACTGGTCAAGACAAAGTTTCTATGTAGATCATAACAATATTTGGAAGAGTGGTTGAATATAATTAAAGACAAGCTACCTTTATGTGTGTACACATACACACACATATATATTTAACAAGTCTGTAGTTATTACCACAAAATTAAACCTGAGTCTTATAAGTTTGGGAAAAGTAAACTCTTGCTCAGATTTTAAGTTCTCACTCTCCTTGACACCCTTTTCTCACTTAGAGAAAATTGGACCCATTTTAGAACATGTGGCCATAAACTGGTGCTTGAGACCCATGGAAGGAATGGTATTCTGCTTAAGAGTACTTTTAACAAGTTAAGGATAGCAAGTTCTCTTGGAGGGTGCCTAAAACAGAGCTACTTTATATTAAACTCTTATCTGCATTAAAGAATATAGTAAGCATTCAGTGTAATAGTCACTCTGATGATCCAAGCCATCAGTTATAATGAGGATTTACGTGTATCCTGTTGAATATAGCTCTCTCAGGGTGTGTGTAAGCCAGGGGAATGAGCTCCCCCGGTTCTGGATAACAATTAGCTGAGTGTGACTCTGTTGAAAGGCTGGTTAGTGCTAGCACTGCAGACTACAACATGGCCTTTTGAGTGCTTAGTCTCTTTAGACTGAACAGATTAACCCTTCTTTTTGGAGTAAAGCCTGCATTGCCATATGCCAGGTACTAGACAAGTGGGTTATCTCCTTTAAGCCTCTTAACAATCCTGTGAGTCCTTTTAACTCCTTTTTATATAACAGATTCAGACAACAACAAACAAAAAAACAGAGTTGGGTTCTGCCCTCCATATTTATCTCTGTGGTGTCTCATGTATCTTAGAAACTGGTTAGATGGGCTAGGTGTGGTGGCTCACACCTGTAATCCCAGCACTTTGGGAGGCCAAGGTGGGCGGGTCACGAGGTCAAGAAATCGAGACCATCCCGGCCAACATGGTGAAACCCCATCTCTACTAAAAATACAAAAATTAGCTAGGCATGGTGGCATGTGCCTGTAGTTGCAGCTATTTGAGAGGCTGAGGCAGGAGAATCACTTAAACCCAGGAGGCGGAGGTCACAGTGAGCCGAGATCGCGCCACTGCACTCTAGCCTGGCAACAGAGTGAGACTCTGTCTAAAAAAAAAAAAAAAAAAAAAAAAGAAAAGAAAGAAATTGTTGTGACGTAGGTCGACTTAAGGAAGCAAACCTTTTACTTCTTTCACATCTTTGACATTTGTTTCATAGAAAATCAAAAAATGCCAGAGTCAAAGAGAAACTGCCCATCATTCTGCCATGCATAGTGAAGTGTGATTGAACTTTGGCATGCAGTCCCCTTCCTGAGCCTAAGTGTGTGCAGTGTTTGTGGCGGGAGATGTGAAGGAGCACTGTCCATCTTCCAGCAGTACTTGGAGAACTCAGCATCTCAAGGATGAGGGACAGGAGATTTAATTTAGTTAAATAGTCAGTCATGAGAGGAGCTATCACAAAGTTAAATGTCCATGGTTACTGTCTCCTTTGGCCTTTCCCACAGCTGGCTACTGTCATCCAGCTGCCAATCAAGGTTTGTGAACAGGTGGCTAACACAGCAGAATAACAGCTCAGGCCATGTATATGTGTTTAGCAGGCTGTAAAAATTCCCACTCTTTCCCATTCAGGGAAAATGTCACAAGCATGCTATATCTGTTGGTGAATGTGATGAATCACCCAGAGAAGGACAGCAAAAATGCAGGCTTTCCATATAAAAAGGGAAAACATTATATTCATTGTCTCCCCACATCTTCACTCATGACATCCTTGGTTTCTGATAGATCATCCTCTATGATTCCCCACTATTGTAAGGAAGTAGGCGAGCTGCTCTGTGTGTCCCTTATCACACCAGTCGATAGTGATGAGTAGGAATTTATCACTATGATATACTTCATGGTTTTCCAACTATAAACTAGTTTTTATTCTAGTTTTGCTAATCTAGTTAGGTAAGTCTCCATGGCCCATTCCCCTGGAATTTAGCTGTTTTAAAACATTAATACATCTGTCATCTGTGCATTTCTCTTTCTTCTCTTTGGCTGCATTTATCCATGCTCTGAGTAGCTAACTTACTTTCCTCCGTTCACTGCAAAGGATCCACCCCTTTGATGACCTGATCTTTGAGGGCTCTTGCACCTTACTCAGTGTCTTTCTGGTATAATTTTTTCCAGGAGCAGCACTACAGGTTTACGTTCAGATTTAAGAAGCCCACTATGATGATGATAACCCATACGTACCTCTAACTCTGGGCCAGGGACTGTTCCACATGTTCATGTTAACTTACTTCTCATAGCCCTGTGAGCGGATATTGTTGTTATCTGCATTTTGCGGATGAGGGAGCTGAGTCACAGAGACGTTAAATGACTTATGCAAGGTCACACAACTGTTAGTGGCAGATCTGGGACTTGAAGCCAGGCAGTGTTGCTCTAGGACCTCTCTTCTTTAACTGCTACTCTATGCCCATCCTGTATCCCTTCTGTTTTCATTTTCACTTTTTCTGAAATTTTCTTCATAAACGATGTGAAATCTCTTTCTGTTTTGTCCTGCTTTGTTTAAGAGGACCCAGCAAAGGTGCAGAGAGAATGTAATGGCTTGGCTCCTGATGTCACAGCAAGTAAGAATCCATGTTGAGAAGCATGGGGAGAGGCCAGAATCAAACAGCACATGCTAGGTTCACAGTCACCTTCTTTGTTGACAGACGCCTTCTTTGTGGAGGACTACAGGATTTTCCTGTGGTGTGCTTAAGAGGGGGCTGGCTTTCTGGCCCATCTGAGGCAGAAGGCACCCTCCAGGTAGGCAGGCTTCCTTTAGGGCTGCTGCTCCTTTTGTGGGTCACTCAGCCTCAGTTAAAGTCCCCAGAGCTGGTTCTAGAAAGCGGCGCTGCTGCGAGAAGAGGAACTGACGCTGCTCAGTGGAATCACATGAGGAACCAATAGCAGTGTTTCCTTGGTTAGTGGGTCTGGGTGTGAGACTGTGAGAACATGTGTGTGTTCCCAGACCTCAACATAGGCACACCTAAGGAGCTGGCCTTGGGTCTAAATGATGTTCTCTGTTCCTCTGTCAGGAACCAGACAAGGCCTAAGTTCCACGCTGTGTTTTTGAAATCACTGAGTCCTAGGACTCATTCAGATTGAATGCTGCTTCTCCAGGTTTAGGTTAAATATTTTAGCCTTGGATGCTGGGGCCAGGTTTATTGCAATAGGGCATAGCCAGGCTGGCCTGGCCACCTTGGGCTGCCACTTTCAAATGCTTTCCATTTACAGAAAAATTGATGGAGCTTCTCCCAGGGTAGATCTAATCAGTTGGCAATTCCTTGCTGTCACTGCTAACCTATCTGTGCCTTCAAACCTCTGTTGACTTTGAGGACCTATCTGCCTACTTTCTGCAAGCCACTCAGCCCAGCCATCCTGCTCCACTTCTTATGTATCTGGTATCTGGGTCAGTCCAGCACCACCTTTGGTTCCAAGCCTTTGTCCTTGTGCAATTTTGTAGACTTCTTTGGGGGGTGGTTTAAAGATTTGATGCAAAGCATGATGTCTGACATTGATATTACACTGTCACCTGAGCCCCTGTAATGGCCTCCTAACTGGCCCTCCTGCTTACACACCCCTCCCTGCAATCTTCAAAAGCAGTTTTGTACCTATTGCCAATATGATCTTTTAAAAATGAACATTCTATCATATCGGTTTCTTGCTTAAAATCCTCCAGTGACTTCTCAATTTTTGGCATATTGAATAAAGCCCAAGCCTGCATAACCCCACATGATCTGGTCCCGCCTCTACCTTGGGCACCATTTTGTACCAGGCCCTTTTGATTCAGCCACACCAACCTTCTGTTTTAACACTTCAAGTACTTGCATTGGTACTTGTGTACATGCAGTTTCTGCTTCCTGGAATGCTTGTCCATTGATCTTACATGGCTGGCCTCTTCATACCATCAGCTCTCACCTTAACATCCTCGAGGGGCATTCTTTCATCACTCAGTCTAAAGTAGCCACTCTGTCACTCTTTCTGCCTCTTGTATATTTGTCTATTGTCTCTGTACTCTCCTTAGAAAATAAGCTCCATGAGGCGGGGACCTTTCATGTCCTGTTCTGTTGTATCTCCAATGCCTAGAATAGTGCCTGGAACATAGTAGATAGGTGTTCAATTAATAGCTATTGAATGAATAAATGATATATGGTAAGTGCTCAATAAATGTTAACTATTATTATTTTGTTAGATAAAAACAAAAATGTGAAAATATAACTGGGGTTCCATTGAGTCCTGATTCTTTCCAGTGATATGTTCAAAGAAACAACTGTGTGGCAGAAAAATATGATTAAAAATAACTTTTACTCATTCCCTCAAAAAAAAAAAAAGCCCAAAGTGAGAGGGTGTATTTTTCACCTATAACAGAACTTGTTGAAATCTTGTCTCGCCATTTCTGATACTCACAGCATTCAACACACATGGCAGCTCTGCCAACTGTGTCTTTCTGTCTGTTTGCCAACCCCCAACCAAAGAGCTCCTCGAAAACCTGGCTAAGTGTCTTCAGGTGCTGTTGTTACCTCGTTTTTGGCCCCAGTTTCTAAATCAGCATTCAGAAAAGGTCAGGAGCCACACAGGCACATTGAAACCTAGAGTGAAGTTGGGGGTGGTGGAAATGAGGTTGGGAATACTCAAGTTGATAGTTTTTTAACCTGCTAGACATATAGCAAAAATAGGGAACTGATTAAAGATATGAGTGTATTCTAAACTGAAGAGTACTTAAGACTATCCTAAATAGCTGTACTTGTGGAGCATTGAATCCTAGACTTTTTTTTTTTTCATATATACAAAAGGTTGATCTCTTTAATCTTGGTATCCCACTACAAAGCTTTGAACCCAGAATAGAAGGAGATCTCTACTATCACAAAGCTTGTGCATTAAAACCATTTGTTTACTCTATAGGTCCTCCTTTGGAACCTTATTGACTTGCTTTATTATTTTGTTTGCAACTACTTTAGGTTAGAAACTGGACCTAAAAGGGAAGGGGAACTATTAGAGACAAGGAAAAGAACATGATACTAGTCAGCCTGAGTGAGCAGACCAAGATGAAAAATGCTCTCATTACACAGTGGTAACAGTGACCCTGATTCCTAAAGTGGGAGTCAGATTAAAGACAGGAGTGTGTCCTGGTCACTTTTTATCTCTGAATTGTTTCTCCAGTAGTGGGTTCTGTCTTCCAGAGCCATTAATGCCCTCTGTTCAGCTTTCTTATGTCCAGCACACATTTGCAAGACAGATCTTTAAGATTACAGGATGTGGTCTTGGGAAAGCAGGTCTTTACTGTGCAAAATATCCAGGTCTGCCAGAGCATCTTTTCTGAGCCCTTGGCTTCATTAATACACTGCTTCAACCTGCTGGCCTCAACTGATTCATCAGGTTATAAACGGAGTTGGGAATAGAAATTATTTCCCTGGGGGATCCCAGTTATATAATAGCTGTCATTTGTATGCAGTAAAATGATTTGCAGAGTAGCACAGCTCAGAGTTCCCAGCTGCATTCTGTTTGTTTATTTCTGGCAGCATATGAAACAGTTTGCTGGGTATGTGGTTTCCAAAAGGTAACATGGACATAATAGTAACATCTGGGGCTGGGGTTTTCTCCCACCCCATATAGATTTTAGTAGGAAGTCTGCATCTAAGGAATTTGAGTTTAATGTCTGTTGCTTGCTTTCTAACTTCATGCCTGTCAGTTCTCCGTTGCTTTTACTGGCCACAGTCTTGAGCCTCTCAGCTGCCATCTCCCAGAGAGTGCCAAGCTAAAGAGCTACACATAAATATTCATGAGGGAAAGAGACTCAGAAAGCAGAGGACAGGTTGGGGAACCCTTTTTTCTGAGATGGGCTACGGGCTTCTTGCCTTACTTTCTTTTTCCTCTCTCCATCCCCCCTAGAGTAAATTAACTTATATACTGGCCATTGTCTTCCCTGTCCAGTGGGGAAGAGGCAGGACAGAGTGGAAGGCAACAGCCAAGAGAAGTGTGGGAACTACACGTTTCCCTGGGATGGCATGGTGTTGTCCAACCAACTTATGCCACTGAAGGGTGCATTGTCCAAATAGTCCTTATATACCATAGGGGTCAAGGAGGGTGTAATGAGGACAGCAGAGAATCATGAGTGATAATAGCTATTGTGGTGGACAGCAGAGGGGTAGAGGAAGGAGAGATGCTCTTGTTTGCCCTAGCCAGGCTAGTGGGGACTGTGCCTTGGAGACAGTTATACAGGGGCTCACACTCATTCCTCTAACCCCCTAAACCTTTCTCTACCAGAAAATCAGATGTAAATGAACTACAGCTGCAGCCTTGAAGACTATGGAGAGAGGGAGGATATTTTAGACCTCCGTGCCTCACTGAGAGGTGGGAGAGTTGATGCTCAGGGGCCTGAATCTATGAGTCTTCTGATAATTTTGCCATTGGGTGTAGCATCCTCCTCTTATTGTCATCTTTCTCCTCCCTCTGCATTGAAATCATCCCTAGCTACCAAGTTTCCCACAGCTTAGGCTGCTGGTGAAGGCCCCAGTTTGTTCCACACTTGGTTGTTCTCTGACAGCTACTTGTCTCAGTCTCAAGTTCCTGATTTTCGGTTTTCACAATATTCCGAGCTAGGATCTTGCCTATTTCTAGTTGCCCTTACCTAGGTTTCCATTTTATAACTTCCTATCAAAGATACACAGTCTGATTAACTCTTCATAATATTGTTTTCTCTTTGTAAGCAGTAGAATTGGACTCTTAGATCAATTTATAGAATAGTTGTCACAACCATCTCTATGTGTCTGCCTTCACATGGACTATATTTTTAGTGCCGTTTTCTACTATATAACAAGAATACTTTTATTAATCTCAGCAGACAAGACCAAGTGTCAAGTCACAGCAAGGGTGATGGGAGCCAGGATTTCTTACTGACTTGACTGAACACCTCTGACTAAGGATAGTTCTTCAGGTAATTGAACACACACCGATGCTTTAACACAGTTTCTAGCCTAGCCTGTCTCCTGAGCCTGATAATTTGAATAAGTGGGGAGTCTCTCAGCTGGACACAGAATACCCTGTGTCATATGATTGGTGGGTCTGAATGAAAATCTTTGTATTGGAGCTGGAATGGCAGGAGACAGTGCGATATAGTAGAAGCAACACTGAACTTGTAGTGAGAATCTTAGGTTTGGGAGCATCCTTACTCTGGCATCTTACTGTCCACATGATGTGGTCAAAACACTTAACCTGATGTTGTTCAGCTGTTCATGAATCCTGTGTACCAGACACTGCGCTTGGCACTGCTGACACAGTGGTGACTGTGGCAAGATCTTGCAGCTAAGTATGACAACCCTGGCTATGTTAGGGGCCTCTTGTGACCCTTGAATGAGATAATGTTAAGGGGTTCTTGTGCACCTTAAATGATAGAAGAGTCACTTCTTTTGTGAACTTTAAATGTTCACAAGAGAGGTCTCATTTTTATTGAAAAAAACATTAATAATGTACATAATTTAAAGTCCACATGGGAGAGCATTAATGTATCCAACCAGAGCATCATATTGAAAAAAGTGCATAGCTACACAGATGGAGAATGTACATTATCTAGTGGGAAAATATTTTTTACACATTTGTACACTTACAGTAACAAAGTATAAACACTACCTGCCTTTGATCCAAGGAATATAAATACTTATTAAAAATAAATTATATGAAATGCCATTTGATTCTCTTAGAAGCTATTCTTCTGTGTCATCATTGAACACCCAGAAAGACTACAGGCTTATAAAGAAACATCTCTATTTACATGGTGTATTTCTGTATCACTCTTCAGGCTCAAAAGAGAAGCAGAGCAGAGTGGCTGTAAGGCATGGATTGAGGAGAATCTTCAGACCACCCTTTCCTGGTGAGGGAGGGGCTTTGTGAAGGCTTATGTTCTCCTTTGGAACCTAAAAGGCAGCTCTTGAGATCCTCCTGAGGGACTAAATACCAAAGGGAGATTAGGCCTGGGCAGACTTAAATGCACCACACATTGGATGATTCGAAGTGACAGAGAAGAGCATTTTAAAATTATATACTGTAAGACAGATTACAGATCTATAAAAAGACAATGTCCCATTAAAAACTCCTCATGACATATTGGTAAGTGGAGAAAAAAAAAGACTATAGACTGTTTTGTGCATATCTCACTTTTTGGAAAAAGAAGTATTTGCAGGTTTATGTGTGTTTCAGTCTGTTTTGGCACCTTAAAAAACACACAGTTTATAAATTTAGAAAAAGGAGACTTTATTTTTTCTTAAGAATTATAGCTTGCAAGATGACCATCCCGCAGGCTGAGAAGCCTGCCTCTGACCAAGACCCACTTCGGAGGAGGTGCGTTTGGGATAGGAGCTTTATGTTAAACAGGTTGGCTAAACATACATGTTGAACAGGTTACAGAGGGGGCTATGAATATTCATGAAGGTGGTCCTAACACATGTGTATTAGACAAAATGCATGTAACATACACCTATGTTCACTTTGGGGTGGACACTTAACATTTAAATATATTACAATTAGGCCCTATATGTCCAAAGGTCTTTTCAGGGCATGAAGGCACCCAAGTGGGCAACATCTGTGAACCAGCCAGAATCAGTCCATGGTTGGTGGTCTTCTCATCAGGAGAAAGTTACTGAAATCAGTCTTGTCCAATAAAGCTGTATTTATGGCTGATAGAACAGGGGTTCAGTTAGCATCTGTGAGCTGGATGAGTTGTAATTGTTTTAATGTTGCTTATATCAAGGCCAGTGTTTGTAGCTGCTAGGGAAAAATAAAAACCTTGTGACAATTAAAACATAGTTTTTGTTGGAGGGTAGGGTTGGGAGGAGGGAGAGCATCATTAGGAAGAATAGCTAATGGATGCTGGGCTTCATACATAGGTGATGGGATAATCTGTACACAAACCACCATGGCACACATTTACCTATGTAACAAATCTGCACATGCACCCGTAAACTAAAAATAGAAGTTGGAAAAAAATCGTTTATTTTACTCATAAATAAAGAGTTTTGTGTCCAAAATTGGTGGGTTCTTGGTCTCACTGACTTCAAGAATGAAGCCGTGGACCCTCGCAGTGAGCGTTACAGTTCTTAAAGATGGTGTGTCCGGAGTTTGTTCCTTCTGATGTTCGGACGTGTTCGGAGTTTCTTCCTTCTGGTGGGTTTGTGGTGTCATTGGCTTCAGGAGTGAAGCTGCAGACCTTCGCAGTGAGTGTTACAGCTCTTAAAGCGGCGTGTCTGGAGTTGTTCCTTCCTCCCGTCCAGAGTTGTTCATTCCTCCCGGTGGGTTCATGGTCTCGCTGGCCTCAGGAGTGAAGCTGCAGACCTGCGCGGTGAGTGTTACAGCTTATAAAGGCAGTACAGACCCAAAGAGTGAGCAGCAGAAAGATTTATTGCAAAGAGCTAAAGAACAAAGCTCCCACAGTGTGGAAGGGCACCTGAGTGGGTTGCTGCTGCTGGCTTAGGCAGCCTGCTTTTATTCCCTTATCTGACCCCACCCACATCCTGCTCATTGGCCCATTTTACAGAGAGCTGATTGGTCCGTTTTACAGAGAGCTGATTGGTCCGTTTGGACAGGGTATTGATTGGTGCATTTACAATCTCTGAGCTAGACATAAAAGTTCTCCAAGTCCCCACTAGATTAGCTACACACAGTGCACTGATTGGTGCATTTACAAACCTTGAGCTAGACACAGAATGCTGATTGGTGTGTTTACAATCCTTTAGCTAGACATAAAAGTTCTTCAAGTCCCCACTAGATTAGCTAGAGAGAGCACTGATTGGTGCGTTTACAAACCTTGAGCTAGACACAGAGTGCTGATTGGTCTGTTTACAAAACTTGAGCTGGACACAGAGTGCTGATTGGTGCATATACAATCCTCCAGCTAGACAATCCTCCAGCTAGACATAAAAGTTCTCCAAGTCCCCACCCAACTCAGGAGCCAAGCTGGCTTTGCCTAGTGGATCCTGCTCCAGGGCCATGGGCAGAGCTGCCTGCCAGTCCCGCGCTGTGCGCCCGCACTCCTCAGCCCTTGGGCGGTCCATGGGACTGGCTGCAGAGCAGGGGGTGGTGCCCGTCAGGGAAGCTCGGGCCGTGCAGGAGCCCACCGTGGGGGGACTTGGGCATGGTGGGCTACAGGTCCCAAGCCCTGCCCCGCGGGGAGGCGGCTGAAGCCCAGCGAGAATTCGAGCATGGCACGGGTGGGCCGGCAGTGCTGGGGGACCTGGTGCACCCTCTGCAGCTGCTGGCCCAGGTGCTAAGCCCCTCACTGCCCGGGGCCAGTGCCACCGGCCGACCGCTCGGAGTGTGGGGCCCGCCGAGCCCACACCCACCCGGAACTTGCGCTGGCCCGTGAGCACCGCATGCAGCCCCAGTTCCCACCCGCGCCTCTCCCTCCACACCTTCCCGCAAGCAGAGGGAGCTGGCTCCAGCCTCAGCCAGCACAGAGAGGGGCTCCCACAGTGCAGCGGCGGGCTGGGCTCCTCAAGTGTGGCCAGAGTGGGCACCGAGGCTGAGGAGGCACCGAGAGCGAGTGAGGGCTGCCAGCACACTGTCACCTCTCAGTTTATTCCAAGGGTAGGAGTGTGTGACTTAACCCTTTCCTGTCATGGCCTTACGTCCTGTTTATAATTTGGTATCTTAGTGCCACAGAGAGTCTGTTTTGTCAGTCTTATGATCTCTGTTTTGACATTAATGCTGGCCAGTTGTGTCTAAACTGAAAAAGGGAAGGGATGTAATGAGGCATGTCTGGCCTCCCATCCCATCCTGGCTGGGAACTCAGTTTTAAGATTTTTATGGGGTTGCCTTGGCCACAAGGGGGCCTATTCAGTCAGTTGTGGGGGCAAGTAGGATTTTATTTTTGGTTTACACACTGTAACAGAATACCACAGACTGGGTAATTTATAAGGAAAAATATATTTCTTACAATTCTGGAAGCTGAGAAGTCTAAAGTTAAGGGGCTCACATCTAGTGAGGGCCTTCTTGCTACATCTTCACATGGCGGAAGGCTTGAAGGGCAAGAGATCAGGGGAGAGAGAGGGAGGCGAGGGGGATTGAACACATCCTTTTCTTAGGAACCTACTGAGAGGTGAAGCTGGCTGGGCTTCTGGGTCGGGTGGGAACTTGGAGAACTTTTCTGTCTAGCTAAAGGATTGTAAACACACCAGTTAGCACTTGGTAAAAAAAGGACCAATCAGCACTCTGTAAAACGGACCAATCAGCACTCTGTAAAACAGACCAATCAGCTCTCTGTAAAATGAATCAATCAGCAGGATGTGGGTGGGACCAAATAAGGGAATAAAAGCTGGCCACCTGAGCCAGCAGCGGCAACCCACTCAGGTCCCCTTTCACACTGTGGAAGCTTTGTTCTTTCGCTCTTTGCAATAAATATTGCTGCTGCTCACTCTTTGGGTTTACTTTGCCTTTATGAGCTGTAAGACTCACCGTGAAGGTTTGCGGCTTCACTCCTGAGGCCAGCGAGACCACAAACCCACCGGGAGGAAGGAACAACTCTGGATGCGCCGCCTTTATGAGCTGTAACACTCACGTGAAGGTCTGCAGCTTCAATCCTATAGTCAGCGAGACCACGAACCCACCAGAAGGAAGAAACACTGGACACATCCGAACATCAGAAGGAGCAAACTCCAGACACACCATCTTTAAGAACTGTAACACTCACCGTGAGGGTCTGTGGCTTCATTCTTGAAGTCAGTGAGACCAAGAACCCACCAATTCCAGACACACTACTCCCAAGATAACAGCATTAATCCATTCATGCCCTTGTGGCCTAATCACCTCTTAAAGGTCCCACTTCTCAACACTGTTACATTGGGGATTAAGTTTCCAACAAATGAACTTTGGGGTCACATTCAAACCATAGCAGTATGCAATATTAACTTTGTTTATCACTTGATGATATAGTTGTGTACTCATCTTTGGACTTTCTGTATTTCAGTAAGCATGTATTTCTTTTGTAGTCAGAAAAGTAATTATTGTAAACAAAATCCTATTATAAACAGAACTCTAAAATATCTATACAGCAAAGGGACTGTGTTGTTCATTATTTTATTCCTAGTGTCTGGACTATGCGGTGGAATCACATGAGAGAGCTTGTGAATGCTGCAGATTTCTGAGCCTCAGCCCTAGAGATGCTGGCTGATTCAGTTGTTGTGGAAGGAGATGCTGCCAGGGAAAATGGAAGCAGATTCTAGAACAAATCATACTATGGAATATTATCAAAGCTATCATTTCCCATGTAACTCCAGATTTATTATAACCGGGGACAAAATGTGTACCCCAGTTGAAAATTACCACTGTAGCCTTCCCTCCATCTTGGCTCTAGTTGTTGCTCTACCTGAGAAGAATGTATCTAGTTCTGTTTCCCCTGAGATGCTTTTCAGGCTCTGTGGGACTTAGAAAAAGCAATTATCTATCAAATACCAGATGGCTGTGTAGATTAGCCCCAATGAGTAAAAACACAGTGATGCGAACAAAAGATGGTGATTAGCTGGTTGAATAACAACAGACGATCTCAGCGCAGATGCACTGGAAACAAGGGCGGGATCAGATACTATCATTTTTATTTTCTTGGGTTCATTAACAATGCATTCATTATTTCAGTACTGCTCTGATGTTAACAGAGAGATAAGGAGAGGGGGATAACTTTTACACCACAGCTTTCTCATTTTTATTAAAATAACATTTCCTTAAAACTTCATGGTAAGAGATGACTTAATGTTGTTTTCCATCTGGTTGTAAAGAATAGTAATGTGTGCTTCCTGGGAGATTAAAAAAAAGAAATAATTCCAAACTAAGCATTTTTAGCTCAGTTTACATAACTGTTATAGAAAAACTAATATTCCCATAATATTCACATTGTCCACGTATGCAAACACAGGACTAAGTTGTATGAAACAGAAAAGACAATGGAGGCCACCCAAATGTTTTAGGCCATCATTCTGGTTCTGTTCAGTTAAAAAAACTTGAAATTTTCTAAGATGCTACCTATTCAAAGCTCTGCTGTAAACTCTAGGATCTCCCAACTCTCAGCTAAGGTATGAGTGAAGGAAGAAAAATCACAGGTTTAAAGCATGGTTAAACCAAAACTAGTAAAATGTGGTAACAAAATTTTAATTGTAAAAATACTTAGTTTAAAATGTAGCCAATATTTAGAAACACATTAACACACTCTAAGACATCATCCAAAAAAAAGCATTTAGGTATTGGTGGTGTACAAGCACTAAACATCGTTTTACTTCAACAAAGGAATGGTCAAAATATTAAAGTCAGAGTTTTAAAAAGATCAAAATCTGTTAAAATACACTGCTTTTTTTAATGAAAGAAGAAACAGATCTCCAAGGTATGATAGGAGATATATCAGTATATATCAGTTAATACATATTTCTAGGAATAGATGCCTTCAAAAATATAGGTATTGTTGCTGAATTGTGGAGGTTTAATTTTTTGGCAAATGCATTATCTTAGGTGTGGTCAGTTTGATTTGCCTACCCCTAGAGAATCAATAGTTAAACCCCGTATCACCCAGTCCATGTTCCTAACATTCAGACAAGTGATGAAGATTAGGCAACTAAAAACAGATATTGTTAGCAGGATGTATCACTGAAAGGCAAGCTGGTCATGAGTAGATATTTTTTCATTGTTTTATTTACTCATTTGTGAGCCTGGGGTCATTGGTTCCACCTAACTTCTCTCTCTGACATTTAGATAATTCACCACCAGATAGATGGTGATGGTGATGACTGGCTTTCTGTTAATCTGTGTATCGACATTATAGTTTGTCTACCCATACTAGGTACATGAAAGAAGTTAGCAAAGCTTTAGTATAAATGGATGCATGTGATGTGCTTTCAGAGAGTATCAGTTTTGCTTAAGGATGTTAGGGGCACAATAATATAAACAAGTTTTATTGCTAGTATATAATTTTAAAATTATATTTTTATTAAAGTCATATTGCCTACTGTGGAATATAAAGCAAAATATGCATGTGTCTTTAAGAGATGGAGTCTTGCTCTGTCACCTATGCTGGAGTGCAGTGGTGCAATCATAGCTCACTGCAACCTCAAACTCCTGGACTCAAGTGATTCTCCTGCCTCAGTGTCCCAAATAGCTGAATACAGGTGCACACCACCATGGGCTCAAAGTACACATTTTTGTAAAGATGAAACAGGAGATTTCAGGGACATTTCCTGCTTAGAGAGGTCACTTTCCACTGTACCTCAGGACTCCAGAATGTGGGATTAGGGTGATATATATTAGTTTACTCGCATCTTTTATTAGAGACTCTTCTATAAAAGGATTTGAGAAGCACTGCATGGGGCAGGAAGAAAAAGAGCATAAAATTTACTTAAATAGATGTCTATTCAGTTACAGTTATGAGAGGACTCCATTAAGTTACACATTTTTTGAAAAAACCTAACTCTTAAATGAGCCAAGCATACATCACTAAGTATTCTATTTAAGAGGATTCAACGTTTAGAGAATCAAGAAGTACCAGTGGCTGCATTCTCACAATTTCCTGCAAGAATGAGTCTCTCACTTATCTACTTTAGTGTCTCATTTACCACTTTTGGTGTGAAAAGTTCCCATGATTTATACATACCTAGACTCTTACTGCTAAAGATTCTTTACATACTTTGATGATAATGATTATAATGATAACCCATACATAGTGTTTAATGCATGCCAGACACTGCTCTAAGGTTTTTGCATTTAACGCTCACAGGGATGCAATTGTCCTCATGTTTTCATTTTACAGATGAGGAAACTGACTCATAGAGAGTTAAGTAATTTTTTTCAAGGGCATGTAGCTTACAAATGATAGAACAAAGATTGGACCCTGGACAATCTGGTTCCAGGGTCCTGTTCTTAAACATTACCTTTTCCTGCTTCTTACAGAAATTATTAAATGTTTACTGTTTACAAGGCTAATATTTATGAAGTCATTAGAAATGATGTTGGAAAACTGCTTTGAATCACATAAGTAGCTATTAACAAATGAGGTTCTAGTAGAATTTGACAATAATGACATGGTAGGTACCATTTGGCTAATAAAGGAAATAAAATGAAGCCCTGAAATAGATTTTTTAAATTACTTTCATTATGGTTTTGCTATGCACATCTTGTGTTAAGTAAAGAATGTTGCATGGTGCTTTTGGGCAGGGGTTTTTTTGTGCTTTTTAAAACTTTATTTCAACATAACTATGCTTACAGAAATACAGTCATATTGGTTAATAGAATGCAACTTAGGTTTAACTTATAATACACAATTTGGACCAAAAAGTTGGTACATGGTTTAAGATTTTAAAAAAGGACTTGCAATCTGATTTATTTTTATCTATTACCAATTGATATGGTTTGGCTGTGTCACCACCCAAATCTCATCTTCAATTCCCATGTATTGCAGGAGGGACCTGGTGGGAAGTAATTGAATCATGGGGGCAGGTCTTTCTCATGCTGTTCTTGTGATAGTAAATCTCATGAGATCTGATGGTTTTATAAGGGGGAGTTTCCCTCCACAAGCTCTCTCTCTTTGCCTGCTGCTATTCAGGTAAGACGTGACTTGCTCCTTCTTGCCTTCCACCATGATTGTGAGGCCTCCCTAGCCATGTGGAACTGTAAGTCCATTAAATCTCTTTCTTTTGTAATTGCCCAGTCTCGGGTATGTCTTTATCAGCAGCATGAGAACAGACTACCACACCAATGTAAAAAAGTTGAGATCCTCCATCAAATGCTGCTCAAGAAGGCAGCAAAAAGAAGGCAGCAAGAACTTTGAGAAACTTAGCTTTGGTTTGCCTCAGAAAAATAACGTTGCACTGTATAAGTTTGTAAAAATGGTGCAACAAAACATTGTAATCTTTCAATGCCAGTTTAGAAAGTTCAGTAACTAATGAATATGGAAAAGGGTTGGAGGGAGCCTATGTACACATGTGAAATTTGTAAAAGCTATCTGATTTAGATAATACTGCATGTAGGTTGTATATCTACACAAACCAAGATTCAGATCATTTCTTCAACCTGAATTAACACTATCTGTTCATCTGCTGAGGTCAACCAGAAAACTGGGCACACTAGCTGTTAAGTTTTTTTGACTTATGGAAAAAAGAAAATTAAATTTCTTCTTCAACTTTTCAGTTCAGAAGTGAAGGTATATTACAGGCAAGGTATTCCTTCCATTGTCCACATTAATGAGGTAGCATGCAATGTGGTCTACTTGGGTTTTAATTTGTATCAGCACACATATGCAAAATGGTCTCCAAAGTTAATGACCATATAGCTTTAGAAGTGACCCTAAAAAATAAAATGGCCAGGGGGTGGAGCCAAGATAGCCAAATAGGAACAGCTCTAGTCTACAGCTCCCAGCATGAGTGACGCAGAAGATGGGTGATTTCTGCATATCCAACTGAGGTACCGGGTTCATCTCACTGGGGAGTGCTGGACAGTGGGTGCAGTGCACCAAGTGTGAGCCGAAGCAGGGTGAGGCATCACCTCATCTGGGAAGCACAAGGGGTTAGGGAATTCCCTTTCCTAGTCAAAGAAAGGGGTGACAGACGGCACCTGGAAAATCGGGTCACTCCCACCCTCATACTGCACTTTTCCAATGGTCTTAGCAAACGGCACACCAGGAGATTATATCCCGCTCCTGGCTCAGAGGGTCCTATTCCCACGGAGCCTTGCTCATTGCTAGCACAGCAGTCTGAGATCAAACTGCAAGGTGGCAGCGAGGCTGGGGGAGGGTGCCTGCCATTGCTGAAGCTTGAGCAGGTAATCAAAGCAGCCGGGAAGCTCAAACTGGGTGGAGCCCACCTCAGCTCAAGGAGGCCAGCCTGCCTCTGTAGACTCCACGTCTGGGGACGGGGCATTGCCAAACAAAAGGCAGCAGAATCCTCTGCAGACTTAAATGTCCCTGTCTGACAGCTTTGAAGAGAGTAGAGGTTCTCTGAGCACGCAGCTGGAGATCTGAGAATGGGCAGACTGCCTCCTCAAGTGGGTCCCTGACCCCCGAGTAGCCTAACTAGGAGGCACCCCCCAGTAGGGGCAGACTGACACCTCACATGGCCGGATACTCCTCTGAGACAAAACTTCCAGAGGAACGATCAGGCAGCAACATTTGCTGTTCAACAATATCCGCTGTTGTGCAGCCTCCGCTGCTGATACCCAGGGAAACAGGGTCTGGAGTGGACCTCCAGCAAACTCCAACAGACCTGCAGCTGAGGGTCCTGACTGTTAGAAGGAAAACCAACAAAAAGAAAGGACATCCATGCCAAAAACCCATCAGTACATCACCATCATCAAAGACCAAAGGTAGATAAAACCACAAAGATGGGGAAAAAACAGAGCAGAAAAACTGGAAACTCTGAAAATCAGAGCGCTTCTCTCCTCCAAAGGAACGCAGCTCCTCACCAACAATGGAACAAAGCTGGATGGAGAATGACTTTGATGAGTTGAGAGAAGAAGGCTTCAGACAATCAAACTACTCCGAGCTAAAGGAGGAAGTTTGAACCCATGGCAAAGAAGTTAAAAACCTTGAAAAAAAATTAGACGAATGGATAACTAGAATAACCAATGCAGGGAAGTCCTTAAAGGACCTGATGGAGCTGAAAACCAAGGCACGAGAACTATGTGACGAATGCACAAGCCTCAGTAACCGATGCGATCAACTGGAAGAAAGGGTATCAGTGATTGAAGATCAAATGAATGAAATGAAGTGAGAAGGGAAGTTTAGAGAAAAAAGAGTAAAAAGAAACGAACAAAGCCTCCAAGAAATATGGGACTATGTGAACAGACCAAATTTACGTCTGATTGGTGTACCTGAAAGTGACGGGGAGAATGGAACCAAGTTGGAAAACACTCTGCAGGATATTATCCAGGAGAACTTCCCCAACCTAGCAAGGCAGGCCAACATTCAATTTCAGGAAATACAGAGAATACCACAAAGATACTCCTCAACAAAAGCATCTCCAAGACACATAATTGTCAGATTCAAGTTGAAATGAGGGAAAAAATGTTGAGGGCAGCCAGAGAGAAAGGTCGGGTTACCCACAAAGGGAAGCCCATCAGACTAACAGCAGATCTCTTGGCAGAAACTCTACAAGCCAGAAGAGAGTGGGGGCCAATATTCAACATTCTTAAAGAAAAGAATTTTCAACCCAGAATTTCATATCCAGCCAAACTAAGCTTCATAAGTGAAGGAGAAATAAAATACTTTACAGACAAGCAAATGCTGAGAGATTTTGTCACCACCAGGCCTGCCCTAAAAGAGCTCCTGAAGGAAGCACTAAACATGGAAAGGAGCAACTGGTACCAGCCACTGCAAAAACATGCCAAATTGTAAAGACCATCAATGCTAGGAAGAAACTGCATCAACTAACGAGCAAAATAACCAACTAACATCATAATGACAGATCAAATTCACACATAACAAAATTAACCTTAAATGTAAATGGGCTAAATGCTTCAATTAAAAGACACAGACTGGCAAATTGGATAAAGAGTCAAGACCCATCAGTGTGCTGTATTCAGGAAACCCATCTCATGTGCAGAGACACACATAGGCTCAAAATAAAGGGATGGAGGAAGATCTACCAAGCAAATGGAAAACAAAAAAAGGCAGCGGTTGCAATCCTAGTCTTGGAAAAAACAGAATTTAAACCAACAAAGATCAAAAGAGACAAAGAAGGTTGTTACATAATGGTAAAGGGATCAATTCAACAAGAAGAGCTAACTATCCTAAATACATATGCACCCAATACAGGAGCACCCAGATTCATAAAGCAAGTCCTTAGAGACCTACAAAGAGACTTAGACTCCCACACAATAATAATGGGAGACTTTAACACCCCACTGTCAACATTAGACAGATCAACAAGACAGAAGGTTAACAAGGATACCCAGGAATTGAACTCAGCTCTGCACCAAGTGGACCTAATAGACATCTACAGAACTCTCCACCCCAAATCAACAGAATATACATTTTTTTCAGCACCACATCGCTCTTATTCCAAAATTGACCACATAGTTGGAAGTAAAGCACACCTCAGCAAATGTAAAAGAACAGAAATTACATTGTCTCTCAGACCACAGTGCAGTCAAACTAGAACTCAGGATTCAGAAACTCAGTCAAAACTACTCAACTACATGGAAACTGAACAACCTGCTCCTGAATGACTACTGGGTACATAACGAAATGAAGGCAGAAATAAAGATGTTCTTTGAAACCAACGAGAACAAAGACACAACATACCAGAATCTCTGGGACACATTCAAAGCAGTGTGTAGAGGGAAATGTATAGCACTAAATGCCCACAAGAGAAAGCAGGAAAGATCTAAAATCGACACCAACATCACAATTAAAAGAACTAGAGAAGCAAGAGCAAACACATTCAAAAGCTAGCAGAAGGCAAGAAATAACTAAAATCGGAGCAGAACTGAAGGAAATAGAGACACAAAAAACCCTTCAAAAAATCAATGAATCCAGGAGCTGATTTTTTGAAAAGATCAACAAAATTGATAGACCGCTAGCAAGACTAATAAAGAAGAAAAGAGAGAAGAATCAAATAGACACAATAAAAAATGATGAAGGGGATATCACCACCAATCCCACAGAAATACAAACTACCATCAGAGAATACTATAAACACCTCTACACAAATAAACTAGAAAATCTAGAAGAAATGGATAAATTCCTCGATACATACACCCTCCCAAGACTAAACCAGGAAGAAGTTGAATCTCTGAATAGACCAATAACAGGCTCTGAAATTGAGGCAATAATAAATAGCTTACCAACCAAAAAAGTCCAGGACCAGATGGATTCACAGCCGAATTCTACCAGAGGTACAAGGAGGAGCTGGTACCATTCCTTCTGAAACTATTCCAATCAATAGAAAAAGAGGGAATCCTCCCTAACTCATTTTATGAGGCCAGCATCATCCTGATACCAAAGCCTGGCAGAGACACAACAAAAAAAGAGAATTTTAGACCAATATCCCTGATGAACATTGATGCAAAAAATCCTCAATAAAATACTGGCAAACCAAATCCAGCAGCACATCAAAAAGCTTATCCATCATGATCAAGTGGGCTTCATCCCTGGGATGCAAGGCTGGTTCAACATACACAAATCAATAAACATAATCCAGCATATAAACAGAACCAACGACAAAAACCACATGATTATCTCAATAGATGCAGAAAAGGCCTTAGACAAAATTCAACAACGCTTCATGCTAAAAACTCTCAATAAGGTATTGATGGGACGTATCTCAAAATAATAAGAGCTATCTATGACAAACCCACAGCCAATATCATACTGAATGGGCAAAAACTGGAAGCATTCCCTTTGAAAACTGGCACAAGATAGGGATGCCCTCTCTCACCACTCCTATTCAACATAGTGTTGGAAGTTCTGGCCAGGGCAATTAGGCAGGAGAAGGAAATAAAGGGTATTCAATTAGGAAAAGAGGAAGTCAAATTGTCCCTGTTTGCAGATGACATGATTGTATATCTAGAAAACCCCATCGTCTCAGCCCAAAATCTCCTCAAGCTGATAGGCAACTTCAACAAAGTCTCAGGATGCAAAATCAATGTGCAAAAATCACAAGCATTCTTATACATCAATAACAGACAAACAGAGAGCCAAATCATGAGTGAACTCCCATTCACAATTGCTTCAAAGGGAATAAAATACCTAGGAATCCACCTTCCAAGGGATGTGAAGGACCTCTTCAAGGAGAACTACAAACCACTGCTCAATGAAATAAAAGAGGATACAAACAAATGGAAGAACATTCCATACTCATGGATAGGAAGAATCAATATCGTGAAAATGGCCATACTGCCCAAGGTAATTTATAGATTCAATGCCATCCCCATCAAGCTGCCAATGACTGTCTTCACAGAATTGGAAAAAACTAAAGTTCATATGGAACCAAAAAAGAGCCCACATTGCCACATCAATCCTAAGCCAAAAGAACAAAGCTGGAGGCATCATACTACCTGACTTCAAATTATACTACAAGGCTACAGTAACCAAAACAGCATGGTACTGGTACCAAAACAGAGATATAGACCAATGGAACAGAACAGAGCCCTCAGAAATAATGCCGCATATCTACAACCATCTGATCTTTGACAAACCTGACAAAAACAAGCAATGGGGAAAGGATTCCCTATTTAATAAATGGTTCTGGGAAAACTGGCTAGCCATATGTAGAAAGCTGAAACTGGATCCCTTCCTTACACCTTATACAAAAATTAATCCAAGGTGGATTAAAGACTTAAATGTTAGACCTAAAACCATAAAAACCCTAGAAGAAAACCTAGGCAATACCATTCAAGACATAGGCATGGGCAAGGACTTCATGTCTAAAACACCAAAAGCAATGGCAACAAAAGCCAAAATTGACAGATGGGATCTAATTAAACTAAAGAGCTTCTGCACAGTAAAAGAAACTACCATCAGAGTGAACAGGCAACCTACAGAATGGGAGAAAATTTTTGCAATCTACTCATCTGACAAAGGGCTAATATCCAGAATCTACAAAGAACTCAAACAAATTTACAAGAAAAAAACAACCCCATCAAAAAGTGGGCGAAAGATATGAACAGACACTTCTCAAAAGAAGACATTTATGCAGCCAAAAGACACATGAAAAAATGCTCATCATCACTGGCCATCAGAGAAATGCAAATCAAAACCACAATGAGATACCATCTCACACCAGTTAGAATGGCGATCATTAAAAAGTCAGGAAACAACAGGTGCTGGAGAGGATGTGGAGAAATAGGAACACTTTTACACTGTTGGTGGGACTGTAAACTAGTTCAACCATTGTGGAAGTCAGTGTGGCGATTCCTCAGAGATCTAGAACTAGAAATACCATGTGACCCAGCCATCCCATTACTGGGTATATACCCAAAGGATTATAAATCATGCTGCCATAAAGACACATGCACACGTATGTTTATTGTGGCACTATTCACAATAGCAAAGACTTGGAACCAACCCAAATGCCCAACAATGATAGACTGGATTAAGAAAATGTGGCACATATACACCATGGAATACTATGCAGCCATAAAAAATGATGAGTTCATGTCCTTTGTAGGGACATGGATGAAGCTGGAAACCATCATTCTCAGCAAACTATCACAAGGACAAAAAACCAAACACCACTTGTTCTCACTCATAGGTGGGAATTGAACAATGAGAACACATGGACACAGGAAGGGGAACATCACACACTGGGGCCTGTTGTGGGGTGGGGGGAGTGGGGAGGGATAGCATTGGGAGATATACCTAATGTTAAATGATGAGTTACTGGGTGCAGCACACCAACATGGCACATGTATACATATGTAACAAACCTGCATGTTGTGCACATGTACCGTAAAACTTAAAGTATAATAAAAAAATAAAATAAAATAAAATGGCCCTTCTTAGAAGACTAGAGCAAAATGTCTAGCCATACTTACAAGCCTTATCAAAAAAAAAAATGCAACCCCTTATGAATTACACCTCAATTTTAAAAAGTAGCCTCAATATAAGAAGCAGCTTTGAAAAAAAGAGAAAAACATATAACTTAAAATATCTCGAAAACCATTATGAATATAGGTTCAAAAGATAGTTAAGAAATTAATTTTCATAAGACTCCCTTGGATTAAGGCTTATAATATATTCTAGTATTTCAAGTTTATCACTAGTTACTAAATATCAATTTTTAAATAACATGTTCTTTTTTGCTCTTTTATCAAAAGGGAAAATTCTAGCTTCATTCTATCTAATGTGGGGGAGAGGGACTAGAAAATAAATAAATTCAAAATGTTCTGTGGGAATATTGCATTTTTCAAATGGAAGAACTTCCAACTGACCAGAAGTTCATACTGCCAACATACTTTTCACTGAAACAATTTTTAATAAATACAAATACATGGCATTGAGGTTTTGAACCTAATATAGGCCTGACAGTTAAGTCCTTTTTTTCTGGAAGAAGGCCTCAAGTCCCAATCAATTTCCAGTAACAATGTTTTTACAAATCAATGTAATAATAAAGGGTTTTATTTTCCTTCATATTTTTGTTTTTAGCATTCTAGTCTTAAATACTAGATTAGAATTTAGTTCAGTTCCCCAGAAGCAAATAGCTTTTCTTTTGCAATATGAGAGAATCCACAAAAAACCTTTCCCCAAACTAATTCCTAATATTTAATATGTGTTTAAATGAATCTTTTTCTATACAATGTAAATGGTAACTTTGGTAAAATGTTCCCATGAGTTGTTAGAAAGATTTAACTAGCTTTGTAATTTAAGTTTTAAAACATAAATATTTGCAGCTTGATCTTCTTTTGATAGTGATTGTTGGAGCCCAGAATTCAACATTTATAAATTCTCATTCATGCAAACAAAACACAGACCATCATCATACAACTTACTCCTCATGTCCTGAGAGAAGAATCTTCTACTTCTTTCAGTCTTTGGCCTCCCAGTAAATTCCAATTTCAAACAACTTTTAACACAAACTTCACTCTTAGATTTTTAACAAGCTTTTCACACATACATCATTAATGCTTCCCCTAATCTTTCATGTTGTACTGGCTATTGGGCAGTTGTGTTAAAAAAAAAAAAAAAAAAAAAAAAAAAAAACAGCACTCCCAAAGCGCTTGATTTATTTTTATTTGGAGAATAAGAGACCTTTTCTCAATTGTCTTTCGATAAAGATAATACATATTAGATAAACTGTAGGCTTGAAAGTCATCATCAGCCTCGTTATTGACACAGGAAGCTGGGCAGCATAGGAAGGTGATAATTCCGTATCAGTAAAAGTATAGAGGAGGCTCATCTATGAACCATCATCCTGTCCCAGAAAAGAAGAGCCTGAGTGGTCTTACCTATGCCCCATTACTCCAGATTTCTACATTTATCTTCATCATAGGAAAAGAGAGAACTCTTCTCCAGCAATCACTAGGGGCTACATTATTCCTTGTGACTACCATGAACTTCTTTTCCATATCAGGAAAGTGTATGTGTGTGTGTTTAATTTCCCTCTAGTTGACATCTTTCTTCCTTAGTTCTATGCCTTTTGAGGACAAAATCTGCATGGTTTTTAAATTAGATCTAATGTTTAGAGTCACTTCATCACTAAGGTTTCCCTTCCCACAGCCCAGACCCAGACAGAGATTGATTGCCCTCTTATGAAGAAATCCCATTGCAAAGAGATTTTCAGGCACATTTAAATGGAACATATGGGGGGTTGTCAAGGAATGAGAAAAAGTAATTATGCTCCAAGAAAATTAAAATTTTAGCAGACGAGATTCAGAAGCACAAATTTTAGTTAAACCGAGGAGCAGACATTAATTATCATCATGTTAATCTTGGACTTTGGTAATTGCAACAGAGATTAACCAGCTAGTCAACTGAAAGTAGTTCAGAGTCCAGGCTGGAGAAATTCTATTACCAAATAGCTTAATGTGATTAAAATTAAACTTCAGCTTTTATGCTTTAGGCCCTGAAAATTTGAAGATGGTTGACATTGAAACATTGTAAATATTCAGAGAGGTCTCTTTGCCCAGAGTATGGAGTCACAGATATTTTAAGCCAAAATGGGCCTTTGGCAATAATCTTTGCCATTAAGCCCCAGATCTTCCCTATCTCATAGTCTGCCCTGTAGATCTCAACCTGTCTGGGAAACATGGCTTGATCTGCCACCAAGCTGCCATTTATCTGTCAGATGTGTCAAGATTAATAATTTCTACATGCTGGCTTTTTTTTCCAATTTTAATGGAAGCAGAGTCCTTTCTTCCCAGTGGTAGATCGATTAACCAGACTACATTGAAGGCAAGGAAGGTTAACTTTTCCCTTCAGGACCAATAGTCCTAAGTCGAATATAAAAGATGAAATTTTGTTTTGATCTAGGAAAATACATTGGTTTGATTTCTCCCTGGAGAGCTGCTCTGAATTTAAATGTGAGTAGGTTCTTTTTAAAAACCTGCTGAGTATCACCCTTCAGAGAAAGCCGCCTGAGATTCTAGTATGGGTTTATCACTGGGTGCACCTAAGCATTAGCAAAACATGAGAAGGGAATCCTGGGAATCCCCTGATCATTAGGTGATAGTATACTGATGTCACGTTGAGGTCTTTATGTCTGCTGGTTTGAAGGTTCATGATAAGGCAATTTCCTTTCATGTTTTAGTAACCTTAAACATTGGCTTATGTCTTTATTTGCCCATTGTGTGCTGGAAAAACTGCTACAGCAAGCAGACCTCATTTTTCCTTCATCCCAGAAGCATAAGGCCCAGCTAGAGGCTTGGTGGGATCCACCTCTCCTTTCGATGAAGCCTTCTGGAATTCAAGGAAGATACCTCTTGTGTAATAATAGCACCCAGGTCAAAATATGTCTTGAGAAGATAGTATTTCAGCCAGTGGTGCATCTAACTCAGTTTTTCCTCTCTGGTGCCAGCATTCTCACTGTACTGTCCAGTCCAGACATCTATATATAATAGCAACAGGTATTAGTTCTTAACTGAAGGTAGAGGAGATTTTATAATAACAAAAGTATTACAAGTTGAGTATCTCTTATCTGAAATTTCGGGAGCCAGAAGTGTTTCACATTTTGGACTTTCTTTAGATTTCGAAGTATTTACATATAACCAGTAGAACATCCCTAATCCAAAATCTGAAATCCAAAATGCTCTAAGGAGCATTTCCTTTGAGCATGATCTTTGAGTGTCACGTTGACATTCAAAAAATTGCAGGTTTTAGAGCATTTTGGATTTCAGATTTTCAAATTAGGGGTGCTCAACCTATAGTTGGGAATGTTTGTACCATCACTTTGCAATGATAAGTAAATATATAAATGAAAACAATAAATGTGTTTTCATAAATATGAAACCAATACATTTCCCTCTTCCTCTTAAAGTCTTATCTTATTCCTAAGGCATATGATTCCTAAGTCACAGTGGCCTTAGTACTCCAGCGTAGGAGATGGTGGCACTGGGGAGTGAGAAGTCTTGGTATATTTATCTTCTCCTTAGATATAGAGAAGATAAGCCTGGAGGGATCAGCTCACAGGCTTCTCTTACAGTGTGAAGAAGTTTGGAGTCAGGAAGAAGGATGATATGATGTAAAAAGAAAGGCCTGCTTCTGTCCTGGCCAGGGTAAGGATGGAGAGGAAAGAGAATGAAAAGGGGGTAGAAGACAGAAGTGAGCACAAGTAGCATCTCCAGAGTTCTCTGTGAGCTTTGATGTTGGGAGACTGGGGAATTCAGGAAAACACCACAGGCACAGGCACAAGATTCTACCCTACATTCTTGTTGAGGCAGGGAGTGGGCAGGAACCTGTGCAAGGCCCTTCAAGCCCAGGTGAAGCAGCTCAGTTTCCATAGAGCTGGGATGCTAAGGTGAGCAGCAGCATCATAACAGATGTTAGGGCCGAATGGTGCTGTGGAACAGACTCCAGGGTCTGCAGCCAGCCACAGCTGAGGGAAGCTGAACCAGCAAACGGGAGATGGCCGTACCTACTTGGGGGCATTGCAGGAAGGGAAAGACAGGGCCAGCCTGGTATTTTACCATCAGAGACCATAAGGGCACATGATGATAAGGGAACAAGGGCATTACTGCAGGCCAGTGGATGCCAGGCAGTACAGACAAAAGAACTGGCACAGCCTGCGTAACTCCCAACTCCCCACCAGACACCGGGAGGACTGAGATACCATTATATGAAGAGGGGATGCTATCAGGAGTCTGAATATTTTCTAAAGGGACTATTTAAATTATTAGACCAAATTTGAAGCTGGCTTGGATATTTACTTAGAGTAAAAGCTGTTACATCAGATGTGATCGGAACTAATTTTTAAAAAATGATTAAGGCAGAATCAGAAATAATTTATGTATATAACATTTAAATTTAATTTAATGTAAATGTACATTAGCAATATTTTAATTCACAGCCAAGACTTTTTCTTTTCGTATTGGTTTTCCAATTAGAGTTTTGCTTCTTATTTCTTGCATAAATCATCCTCTAATGTATCAGCTACATTTCTACTTGCATTTTCTTTACTGGGCAAAGAACTCTTTAAGATACTTGCGAAGAAATTTGAGTGCAGAATCTTAGATTTCTACAGTTAAAAATTTTTTTTACCATTGCCTTGACACCTAATTGAAAGTGTTGTTAAAGAAAACTTGCCTTAATTAAGTCTATTCAAATCATTCAACTTAGTTTTCATACAGACAACTCCCTTCAGTCATTTTTTTCTCATTTGGCAGTATTTTTAAATTATGTAATTAAAAGAACAAAAGAAATGGATGTAAACAGACTTGTAGACAAAACTGACTCTTGAAAGCAGACAGTGTGGAGGCATCCCAGAGAGAAACCCTGTTACCTTTAGCTTCTCAGTGTTCTGGGGAGAATCAGTAAGTATGATGTAGAAAAGGAATGAGTTAATTCAGCAAGACAGTTAAATGCAGATTAATCTCTGTAACAGCAGATGAAGGCTCAAAAGGAAAGTCCACTTACAGTTGACATCTTTTTAATTGTATTTAGTTGCATGTATTGTAGGTTAACTTTGCAAACCCGCCACATATATTCTGTAATAAATTAATCAAACCATAAATTATATAGCTAATTTGTAAAGGGATGTTTAGTGGAACACTGATTTTTCTGCTGATCATTTTCCATTATATTCCTGATCCCATGATGGTAAACAATAAGATTTTTCTTTCTTGTCTGTAGAATTTATCCTAGATTCTACTTATACACCTTATCAAAGATCTTTTAAAATATTATCTTTATTATCGTATTTGTTAGAAAGCTTGCTTCCTGCCACAAATTCTCCAGAAGTGTCTCTGCTCTGAAAATAGACTAAATAGGAGAAGATGTTTTAAGCTTCTTTCCGTGGGAAAAGTAACTTCCTAATTGGGGTCCAAGCTAGAAACAATTGTTTCCCCCATTGAATGGACATGTGGATGCTTTTGGTTTAACTACTGCATTTCCCTCTGCCTCTTACCCTGCCTTCACTTCTGCCTATCTCCAAAGATGCTGTTGTTTAACTATTTCATGTCCAGTACCTACAGGCTTCTCCCGTTCTATGCTCAGACATCATTTACCCATCTAGTAGCCTAATCTCAACTCTCTATGGCCACCTGAGTCTGCAGTGGAGCAGGCTGAAGGGAGAGTTGGTAAGCTTCTTGACATTTTGCCTCTGTGTGTCAGGTTTGTAGAGCCAGAAATTCTACAGGCCAACCCCTGGCTGTAGAGCAGGGAGCAAGACTTCAGTGAGTGCTCATTGATTTATCCAGCTGTCAGAAAACTTGCACCCAAGAATGAGCAGGTGCCTCCACTGCCTTTGGCCAATGAATTGGGGACCTTGCGTTTCTTTTCTTTTCTTTTCTTTTCTTTTTTTTTTTTTTTGAGACAGAGTCTTGCTCTGTTGCCCAGGCATGAACTCAGCTCACTGCAACCTCTCCCTCCCAGGTTCAAGTGATTCTCCTGCCTCAGCCTCCCCAGTAGCTGGGATTACAGGCACATGCCACCACGCCTGGCTGATTTTTGTATTTTTAGTAGAGACAAGGTTTCACCATGTTGGCCAGGCTGGTCTTGAACTCCTGACTTCAAGTGATCCACCCGTCTCAGCCTCCCAAAGTGCTGGGATTACAGGCATGAGCCACCGTGCCCAGCTGGGGCCTTGCATTTCTAATCAGTCAGAGGATGCAGTGTCAAAAACAGAGTTGACGTTATTTCCAGGCTGGGTGATCAAGGTAAATAACCCATTTTCTTTTGTTTCATTGTGTTACTGTTTTCTCTAGAACTAACACTGTTCACTTCATTAGGAACCGTTAAAGGTGGCTTCACAGTATTGATTACTATTTGTGATGAATTTGTGACACATTCTTGAATCTTACTTTCAAAGTACCAAAGAGAGAATGGTTGCTTAACAGAGAGAAGTGTTGCTTAACTTCCCAGAAACCATTTGAGCTGATACTACTGTTCTATTATAAATGCAACTTACATAATTTATTCCTTACTGTCCTATCTCTGAAACGTGCCTACAAAGCTGCGTAATGTAAACTGGTTTTAAAAGGCATAGCATCAGCTACTATGCTGGGGTCAACTTTTAATATCCTGAAAAGGCTTAGGAATCAAAACCCAGTTTAAAACTTAGCCCAGTCTATTTGTAAGTGGAAACAGAAATGTCAGTCTGAGAGCATATTGTGACATATCTCTGGGAAATGTGTCCTCCATTGATTTGTGTCATTGTCCCTGGAAAGAACATGTGAGGAAATAAGTCTTCCCAATCCAAATTTCCTTTTGATAAAACCTTGGCAAAAGCTTTTCTAATTGTAGGTTTCAAGTCTTTAAGAATAATTTTGCTGGATGATGCATGCTTTGAGGATATGATATTTTAAATATCATATTGCTTCCAGACATCTGAGAGTTTAACATGCAAATTAATATATATCATTTCTCCTCTCCTTCCCTACACATATGTGAATGTGTGTGTGTATGTGTGTGTGTGTTTTCTGTCATATGAAACACACTGGTTTTCTTCAGTCTGGTTTTCTGTCAGTCAGAAAACCAGACCTTGGGCAAGTCACTTAACCTTTACAGGCCTGTCTTCTCACACTATAACGTGAAGGAATTGTACTATATTTGATTGTAAGCCCTTCACAGTTGTAACATTCTTTTATTCTACTGGAAAATAATTTTGAGTCCACATGCTTATGTGTGTCCTCCATATGCAGATAACGTAGACTAGGCTTTATCTCTGAGAGCCTAAAATAATATGATTCACATATGCAGAACTGTTTTCTTAACTTTTATCTTATATTTTAATATGTAAACTAGAAGGAGAGATTTTTAAAAGATTAAAATCTTTTTGACAAAATATTGCATCTACACCTAAACTCAATCTTCACCATCACCCTTCCACTACCAACTTCAGTGTTTAGAAACCATGAGAAGTTCTGTAATAGATTGGTGTTATACGGAGCTCTTGCAGGGTTGAGAAGTAGCAGGGAGAAACTCTCAGCCTGAGTCTCCAAGGCTGTCACTAACTGATTAGCATAAAAAGTGGTCTTGGGCCGGGCATGGTGGCTCACGCCTGTAGTCCCAGCACTTTGGGAGGCCAAGGTGGGTGGATCACTTGAGGTCAGTAGTTCAAGACCAGCCTGGCCAACATAGTAAAACCCTGTCTCTACTAAAAATACAAAAATTAGCTAGGCATGTTGGCAGGTGCCTATAATCCCAGCTGCTTGGGAGGCTGAGGTAGGAGAACTGCTTGAACCCAGGAGGCAGAGATTGTAGTGAGCCAAGGTCATGCCATTGCACTCCAGCCTGGGCATCACATCGAGACTCTGTCAAGGAAGGAAGGGAGGAAGGGAGGGAGTGTGAGTGAACAGGACAACATGACTGGTTTCCTGGTTCCCATCCACTTTCAGGAGAGTTTCCTTCTAGATTGCTTTAAACTTTATGCATATCAGAGTAACGGTTGCTGCAAAAAAAAAAAAAAAAAAGACAGGAACAAATAATCAATAGGCTATTTTTAAAAATCTGATACCTCATGTACCTCTACTTCCTAGAGCCACTAAAGGCTGTCTTTTAGAGTTAATTTTTTATTGCTGCCTTGCTAAGATGAGAACCATAGCTAGTCTTTGCCTGCTTTCTTGATTCTCACACACCATTAAGATTGAAGCTAATTTGTCACATTGACACTGAGGAATGTTATTATTCAAAGCTGAGTTAAAAAGGGAATTTATAGAGAGCAAAACCAATAAGCCAAGCAGCTCTGACATTTAATTTTCTTGGAAACCTTTCCCATCGAACCAGGCGCGTCTGCACACTACACATTTGCAAAATGAAAAGTGGTGTTGTAGTAGGATAATCTCCTCATATAAATGATGAATGAATAATTTGAAAGAGATTGGATATTATAGGGGGCCCTTTCTCCTTCTTTTGTCCTCTCCCATCCTGCCCTGAAATGACATTTGTGGGTGGGTTCCAGCTTTTAGAGGTGATATGTTAAGTTCTGTTTTGTTCCTTTTTTTTTTTTTATCCTTAGGAATGGAGGGTTTGGGGAAGTGAATACGGATAATTTTTATTTATGTTTTTGGCCACCAGTTCCAGGTTTGTACTATTAAGAAAATTACTTCCTTGGACCATGAGCCCAAAGGGCAATAAACACTGTCCGTCTACCAAGAATTGCTTCAAAATCCTAATACAAACTAATTTAGGATTAGTTCAGGACACTATTGGCTTCCTAAGGTAGGCTAAGCTCACAGGAGAAACCATATTTGAGTATCCATTTAGCTTCCTGTTTTAGACAGGCTGAGTAATGCTAGTTGCTTTAATAAAAAGCCAAAATCTCAGTGGTTTGACATAATAAAAATTTATTTATTGTTAACATCCTGGGCCCAATGCAGGTTGACAGGAGGTGAGCTGGAGAGGGTTCATGTTCCGTATAGTCATTTAGGGACCCAGAACTCATCTATAATGTAGGTCTGCCATCTTCTGAAATCAGCATTTCTCTGCTGAGTTCAGTGTCTACCTGAAGGAAAGTGAGAAAGCTAGTGGATGGCGCATCATGCAGGGTAGGAGTGGGTGGGTGTGGATCCAGGCCATTAACTGGAACTCAGTCACATGGCCCCACCTAACTGCAAGGGAATTTTGGAAATGTAGTTTAGCTCTGTGACCTGAAGAAGGAAGAAGCAAGTTTGGTAAACACATCATATTGACTCTTCCTTGGTTCTCTTTCCTCTTACTACCTGTACTTGCATATGTACTCCTAGTCCCAGAGAAATCTACCTGTGATGTCACCAAGGCATTTAATTTAACTGATCTAGTGGTTTGGCAAATATCCATCTGCTTCTGTATTATTCTATTTGCTTTTCTTTGGAAGGAGATGACCTTTACATAGAGAGGAGGACTTTCCTGCTATGAAGGGTAAACATGTATAAACATGGACCCTCTTTAAATCATCGTATTTTTAAAGTGGAATTGTACAGGGAGTAAATGCCAACTGTTCATTATATACACATGGGAAGAGGGGATATCATCCATTCATCCATTACATTGGGAAAAGCTTTGAATGATTGTTCCTGTCTACCAAGTCTTTCCTCTGTGTGGTAGAAGAGAGAATTCTAGGGCTTCAGGATGACCAGAAGATAATCACATGATTTTTTAAAAGCTAGAGAGATTTCAGCTTGAATAATAATGGAACAAAGTATCACCAAGATGTCTAGTTAACAGAAGTTTACTTGACAATTTGAGACACAGTGTTCTAAAGAGATTGGTTTATGCCCCTTGACTGTATTCCAAAATTCAGGATCTAAGAAATTCTCAACTCAAGTTGGTTCTTGATTAAGGAACCATTTAGACACATGAAGGACTTATTAAAGGCGGCCAAAAGTAGGGAAGAAAATTGACAAGGAACTAACAGGAGCTATGGATTGTTTTACATGCATGTGAGTTTTTGGCTTGTATATATAAATTTTCATCAAATCCTTCAGCAAAGCATGATAAAGGCATAGTTTGGCATTATTATTGGGTATGCAAATTTCTATCCATGGACATTTTGGGACCATCAAATATGGCTCTCTTTGCTTTTGGTTGGAAGCCCGTACCCCAAGAGGGATGTAGAAAATGAAGTATTGCTTTCTTATTGATTGTAGTACTGACTTCATCTGCCAGGAAAAGGCTGGCACTGCAAGGAAAAAAAAAATCTCATCACCATGGCAACAGAAATCTTAACTTTGATATCATATGAAAAGGAAATTATTTTTTCTCTGTTTTTAAGAATTGCAATTTTGTGAATGTGGAAGTGACCTTTGATAGCAGTGTTTTCTTAGAGCATCTGAGCCAGAGGGCTAATGTCCAAGGTAAAGGCCTTTAGGACTTTTAATATGGCAATCCTGATTTTATTTATATCAGGGGAAGAAACAATACTTAGACCATGCAAGATATCATTTTCCTATCAAGAAAATGACCTCATTTTTATGCCACAGATATTTCAAGGGTAGAAGAATAAGAAATTTCATTTGCTGAACTTTCCTGGATATTGCCAGGCCCCCAGAAATGGGGTGAAGGAGGAGGTAATTAAATTAATCTATATTGAATGTTACTATCCTCTTTTCCTGCTAAGTCAGTGACCACCTTCTGCTGTCATTAAACCCTTTAAGATGGTGGAACCAGTCCTATAAAGGACATCTGATTACTCTGGTTGAGAAAACTGAGCTTCTTTAAAAACAGAGCTGTGGAGAAATCACTTGCCTTCCTGTTTTAAAACCTTAAAATGACAGTAAGTCTAATCAGCCATATCTCTTCAGTAAAGCAGCAGGTCAGGGGCTGGGTACAAGAAGAGACCTGGCATTTATTGGTCACACAGTCTGTGCTGGGCACTGTGCTAGCTGCTTGAAGTATTCAGACAATATATTTGTGTTTTTCTTCCTCGCTCTTATGAACAAAGAGGAATATTGGCTCATACGGGATGTTACTGGAGGTAATCACTGCTATATGAGGATCTAAACTAATAGTTCAAGATATTCTTTAGCCATTGGTGCCAGATATGTTATGATTTGGTCAGAGTTATTGAAGAGCTGGTATTTCAATTAAATGGTAGTTCTTAGCAAAGAAAAAAAAAGTTCCCAGAGTACCAATGTGGTTCATTTTTATTCTTAATGATTAAAAACATTAAATCATTTTTCATTAAAGTTAATTGAAGTGACAGACTATATTTTTGAGTAGTACTGTTATGAATAGAACTCAAGGATTGGGGTGGGAGGATCTATAAGCAATACAACCATGCAAAAGTGGTTCTTTTAAGAAAAATACATAGAGGGAGGCAGACTCAGAGTAGGCAATTAGTTTCAGAAAATCACAGTCCCCTCCAGAGCCTTAATACCAGGTTTTCAATTCACCAAGTTTTCTCTCTCACTATTCATTATTTTAGCTTAGTAAGCAAACTTTCACCTATGTTAGTATGAAATAAGCCCCTTCTCCTCTGAAGTTTTGAGAAATGTTTATGAAAGTCACTATATCTGGCAGGGTACGCTGGTTTATTCTATGGTAAAAATCAACCACAAAATAACAGTAGGTGACAATCATACGAGTATATTTTTCACTCATGCCACATGCCAACAAGGATGGGCTTCAGCTCTGTTTAATGTCATCTTCACTCTGAGACCCACGCAGATGATATCACCTCTATCTGGAACTCTGCCAGTTTTGTGGTACAGGTAAAGAAAATATTCTCTCGTCAATCTTGCACTGGCCATTAAAGTCTCCTTCCCAACTTCCTGCTTCTACCTAGTCAAGATTCATATGTTATCACTGCCCAGTGGAAAGCTACTGAATAATTTGAGGTGTACTAGTGTAGGAATCAGATTGGATTTTTAGAAGCTAGGAGGTAGAGGGCAGGAAACCAGTGGGAGGCTATTACAAGTGCCTGCTGCTGGACGTGGACCCTGCTGTGAATGAATCGATGGGGTAAAATCATGATGCTGCCATCCTGTTATTTAAAACCTGATTACTGATGCACCCAGACTGCTTGAATATGTCTCTGTGGTGCTGACATGCCAGAGTGGCCCAACTTCTCAAGACCAATCTTTCCAATCAGATTAGTTTCCCAGCTCTGCCCCTATCCCACTCTGTCCCAAAATAGCTCCAGCTGGCTATTTTGCTGAGATCATGTATGTCCCATGGCCAAAGCTGCACAAGCTCTGACAGCTTGAAGAACCAGTGTTTGGATGCAGGAGGAAGAGTTACAATTGCAAGGGAAGGATACACTGAGGTTTATTTCCTAGTAAGATGTAGAGGGCAAGAGTTTCAGCTTGGGTTATTGAAAGAGTAAGTCCATTACCGAAATATAAAAGCAGTTGAAATATGTATTGAAACTAGTTTACTCCTCTTATTTTGGACACATTGAGTAGGAGATTTGAGCAGTACTTTTCTGAGGAGTTGTCCAGCAGGCATGTGGGAAGCTCAGGGAGGTGTCCGTAGTTAGAGGCATCACTAATGCAGAGGTAACTAAGATTTGAGAGTTTTGAAGTAATTGCCTAGGGAGAGTGTTTAGAGGAAGAAAAGAGTGTGGAGCCTAGGATAGGCAGGAATGTCCATTTAAGAGGAGTCAGAGGAGGAGACAGAATAATGAACTGAGAGGAATGTGGAGTGAGGAGAAATGCATCAGGAAAGTGGAATGCCTAGGAAGCTAGCATTTCAGTAGCTAGCTAGGGAGGAATTACAGCAGGAAGGGGTTTTGGAGGAGGAAAGTCCTGAAGGAAACATGTTTGAATCGCCACAGGGAAGGAGAGAGGACATTTCCTGTGGGGAGTTAATACTGAGGTGGAAATGAGCGGCTCCAGGCTTCTTTGTGAGTATGCACAGGAGGAAGCGGGTGAGGCGGCCAGCTTCATGAGGAAGGAGAATGCATTGGGAAGCAAGAAAAGGTGAGATCGGGCAATGCTGAGGAAACTTCATATACTAGTCAAGAGGAGGCCTATATGGATTCCTGAAAAAGAAGTTTACACTGTGTGTGTGTGTGTGCGCGTGTGTGCGTGCATGTGTGTGTAGAAAAAGAAGCCAGTAGCTTCAGCAGAAAGGTAGAAAAATCCATGAGAAATCTTTTTCAGGAATCCATACCTGAAGTGTTTGTTAGCCTAGGTCAAAGTACATTCTTAAACTAGGAGAGAAGGCTCTAGAAAGAATTTGAGCATTGCTTTACAAAGCAACATTTCCTTTTTTATGACTAAGGGAGCAGAAGTGTGTGGATCTAATCTTCAGTGTGGGAGGCTAAACAAGAGGCAAAACTTTGTCATTAAGTCAACATAAAAAGGCTTTTTAACAGTTGCACTTTCCCCTCAGTTAAAAAAAAGCTATCAAAATCAAAGATAAATGATGTTCTTTTGGTCACTTTTTAGAAAGCCTAAAGAAATAAATGTTCAGAGATAATTCAATGAATGAAAAGCATTTATGAGGAGCCTGTGTGGTTACTGATGATGTGGGCATTTGGTAGGTTTGGGTTTTCAAGGCTAATTTTTAAGAAACTCTACATTTTTTTTTATCTTGTAGGAAGAAGCATGGTTTGATAGAAGGACAGTGAGCTTAGCAAAGTCCTGAGTTGGAATCATGGCTCTGCTTTATGACCCTGAGTAACCTAAACTTTCTTAGCACTCCAAAAAAATAAGATTGCCGATACCTATTTTATGAGGCCTATGTGAAGCCATCAGTGAAACAGTCCCATCTGGCATGTTGCTGGGCACACAGTCATTGCACAATAAATGTTCATTTCCTTTGCTTTTACTTACAATTCCAACATAGTACCCAGATAAATGACAGGGCTTTAGGTATACTTTCAGGTCTCTTTCTCATATTACTGATCAACTGGAATAAGGAGATGGGCATTTTTCTTTTACATAATTAGGCTTTTTGTATAAAAATTGAGTTTACTATTAAACTGATTAAATATAAACATTAGCTGAAATCAATCTTATTTATAAAATATTTAATTGTAAGGTTTAATGAAATACAAATGCTTAGGAATAGTAGGAACATTGATTCTTTTTTTTTTTTTTTTGAGACAGAGCCTCACTCTGTCACTCAGGCTGGAGTGCAGTGGTGCGATCTTGGCTCACTGCAACCTCTGCCTCCCAGGTTCAAGTGATCATCCTGCCTCAGTCTCCTGAGTAACTGGGACTACAGGTGTGTGCCATCACACCCGGCTAATTTTTGTATTTTTAGTAGAGACGGGGTTTCACCATATTGGTCAGGCTAGTCTTGAACTCCTGACCTCGTGATCCGCCCGCCTCAGCCTCCCAAAGTGCTGGGATTACAGGCATGATCCACCATGCCCAGCTGAACATTAATTCCTAAATCATATCAACTTCTACTTAATTTAACCTTATCTTTTTTCCCCACAAATTAGTAATATAAGCAATTTCACTGGACACTTCCTTGAGATTCTGACTTCTTTGAGTGTGTTTATGCCAGTTTTTCTGTGGACAGTTTTCTGAATTCATTAATACTATTTTTTCAAATTGCATCTCTTCTGTAGAAACTAGATTCATCCTAACAAAGAAAAATAAGTTGCCTTTTCTGGTAGTTTTTTAAAAAATTACCTTCCTGAATGTTCAAACTTACCAGAATCAAAAATGAAAACAAAAGCCCCATGATGTGTTTTCAGTGTGAAATTCCATGGTTTTTTTTTTTTTCTGATCAGCAGGGGAACAAATTCACTTTATCTAAGTTCTACCATCTCTACTGGCCAGAGAGGCTACCTAGGTGTGTGCAAAACACAACATGGGTTGGGACCAATTTCCTTTCTAATAAGGAGCAGCTTTCTTATGTTAAAGGCTTTAGATCTCCTTCCTGGTTTTAAATGCAATCTCATGAAATTGTAACTATTTAAATCCTGTACAGCAAATCCCAAAATCATAGAAATGTAAAAATTTTAAATACAGAGATCTGTTCAGATATGGCATAATAGTTACCATGTATACTGACATAGTGAGATACAGTGTCTGCCCCCCGGCACTAACACTTGACATGTGTGTGCATGTCTCTCAAAGGACAATAGATGACAGATGACTATTTAAACATCCATTATGTAAATCATGTATGATCTTAAATCTGGAAAGAACAACCTTGTTATTATTTATAAAATATTTCTTATAAACAAAAAGTTCACATCCTGAATTTTTTCACATTTGAACTTGTTAATCCTGTTTGCTCTATGTGGAAGAATAATAAAAACAATCATAATAAGAAACGACAACTAATTATACTTCTTTATAATTTAGAGGATACTTCCACATGTATTGTCTAATGTAATACTTGTAATGAGCAATCCCTGAAGGTAATACCGTGTCTCATTTTTAAAGGTAAGCAAACTGAGGCCCACAAAATTTAAGTAATGTATAATATCTCATCCTAAGGGAGAGACTAAGACAAGATCCAAGATCTCATAATTTTGTACCCTACTTTTTTTCTATCATATTTATTGCTTTTCTCTTCCAAACATTCTTCTTGACATCCTTTCCACCATTCATGGTTCATCTCAGCTATCATCTTCTTTATGTGGGTTTCCCTCTAGTCATCCCGTCTGGAGGAAATTTTTCCTATTCTCTTGTAATGCAGCATACGGTATTTCTGTTGTGGCTCTTAACCTACAGTGCCTTTGTGTTGTCATTATTACTGTATGTGTCAATTACCACTCCTAGATGGGTAAGCTCCTTGAGTCCGCGGGATATATTGTACCACTTATTGGTAGTAGACATGCAGGAAAAGTGTGAATGAGTGAATGAATGGATTAATATGAATAAATGAACCAGTGACATTCTAAGAGTCTCTGCCAGGAAGCAGTGTTGTTATGACTTAGCCAAGGATCTTTCCTCTTAGAGTTGCTAATAAAGTGGGAAAATGAGCTCAGATATAATCTGAAGTGGAGCTTTGAACACAAACAGTACATGACAAACCTATACGTGGTGAGCACACCTATTTTGCTGTGGTCTTCTCTTTACCAATGTTTCTTTAATTTCCCTTTCCATGCCAGTACTTCTTGCAGGCCACGTTAGCTCTGGGGCAATCAGATAGATATGTCTCACCTTTTTCTTTTGCTATCTGACAGTTCTTTCATTTGGAATGCTGAAGAGACTTTTCAATCTTTGTCCACCTTTTACAGATATAGCAAATCCTTTAGCTGTTGGTAAGCCATTGGCCACACTGGTCTCCTTGTCATCTTCTCATTGTTTTTAATCTTCTTATGTCTATGGCCTCCTTGACCACTGTGTTCTAATTGGAGCAGCAAGGAAATTCTTTTTGAAGGAGGTCACACTGGCTGTCCTGATACCCTGTGATACAATCATTGTAGGAATATTATATGTGCTGCTTTTTTGAGTAGGAAAAATACCAAGATATTTTGAATAGGGCTCCCACAGAGCTTTTTATCACCACGTAGCCTATGAGCTTGGAGCCTACCAGTGGTATACAAGATTGCTAATCAAAATGGAAACCAGTTAGCAAGATAATTAGAAAACAAGTACAATATTTCTTTCCAGAATAGATAGTTTCAAATGATGATGGTGGCCATGTAGCTTGATGTAGTCCTTTTTGAAAGTAATTTGGCAGCTATATCATAAATTTACATGTTTATACCTCTTTTGATGTGACAGTTTTCTTCTGGGAGTCTAGTCAAAGGAAATCTAAAGTTAATAGTATAAATGCAGTGCATCAGGTAGGGGATTGCATTCAGCAGTGTCAGAGAAACCATCACAGTGGTTTAACACAATAGACATTTATCCATCTCAAGTAACAAGAAGTGAATAGACCAACATTCAGGGCTGCTGAGTCAGCTCCATGATGCCATTGACATCCCAAGGCTCCTTCAGTGACTTTTGTCCTCTTTGTGCTTTTGTGATTGTAGGATGGCAAGTTTATCACATGTCATTCTTCCAGGTGGGAAGAGAAAAAGGGAAGGAGAACAGGCAAAACTTACCTGGAAATCCCGGGTAGACTTCTCGTTTCTCGTTAGCCAGAATTGTGTCCCTGCTACCAGTAAGAGAGGCTGAGAAATTAATATTTGGGTTAGGTACACTGTCAGGTTAGACAAAATTAGGAAATTGAGAGAATGACTATTAGTAAAACGATGTATTAGTAATGTCTTCTATGGAAATCAATGTGCTGATGATAACAAAAGTAAGATGATGCAGGCACACAATATCCATTCACAGAGTAACAGATAAACAAAATGATATAACATAGACTACTATGTAACTGCAGTATATTAGTCATAGTTTGTTCAGGAAAACAGAAGCCACTCTCTGAGGAATAGGAAACATTTTAGTACAGGTAATTAAAGGTTTTTGTATTACCTTTGGAGGGCTGGAGGAGTGAAGATCAGAAAGGGCTATCATCATAGCTTGGATCCTTTCAAAGCACAGCCTAAGGCAAGGAGTTATGAGCAGGCGGTTTATTTGGGAGGTGATACCAGGGATCCGCAGTGGTAGAGTGAGGAAAAAGGAATGGCCAACATAGGGGTGTGTTACAGAGGTTGCATTTGGTAGGTAGGAGCTTGATTCTATCAAAATCTAATGAGAAGCACACAGAGTACCTTCCAGAATTGTCCACCCAAAGTATGGAAGGTAGGAGGATTTCTCTATTGGCTCCTAGGACTTGCCCCCAGGGATATTAACTCCCTGTATTTCTGAGCTGTACACACGTATGTGGGCCCAACTAACTCCCATGGCATCTGCATTGTTGGAGAAACTCTACAACAGAAAGTAGAAATGTGGAGCCTGCACCCGAGGTAGAATACTTCCAGCATGATATGAGTTGAAGGCTGTATGGAACTGTGCAGTCATGGCTGAAATCAGAGGTGAAGCCAAGAAAATATGAGCCAGGGTACAGAGGTATCTGCTACAGCAAATTTCAGAAACTCAGACATGAGAGTCATAAGGAAGTGACCACCAAAAGTCTTACTTCCTTTCTGTAATCAAATGACTGGTCCTCTGGTTTGTTAGAAGCCTCTGACAAAACCTTCCATCTTTTGTCTACCACTACCCCATAGCTGACACTGGAGAATAATGGCTTCTCCTTCTCTTTCATCTTTCTAATGACATGCAAGTATCTTCAAATGGTGGGATTAATGCAAATCCTGAGAGAAAAGTCTCTGAGAGATGTAGTTTCCAGGCGTCATGCCCCTGAGGTACAAGAGAGAGCTCAGAAGGGTGAGCGTTGTCCTGAGTATTGATAAATGGTACCTGGCTCATCAGCAACTGATGAATTATTTATGAAGAATTTTCGTATAACTTGTTTTTATCACCTCTAGTTAAACCCACTGGCGAGAGAGGGATTCCCACCCTAGGATTATGTGGATTTTGAGAATGGCAAAACACACAACTCCTAACACTAGATAGATGTGGTCAATAGACATTTAGTAGTCATATATACTCATAGCTTTGGGAGAAGCTTTCTTTATACCATTCAGGGCCACATGGGAGTTGCATATGGTAAGAGTGTGAACAACCAGAGGCCATTTTATAGGATCAAGAGGATGGGGTACCCCCTGGTTCCCTCAAGAGGATAAAATTGATTTCTTTGAATAATTCTACTGACTGACAAGTAACTGCAAACCACTACTCAGGGATAAGCAGGAACTGCACCTGGTCGTTTGGATAAGGAGGGCAGTTTGGCCAGGGGATCTTACATGTGAACTGAAGCCTCAATTTTAGACCTTACATCATGTGAACAGCAAACAGTCTTTACTAGTTTGGGTAGAGAAAAAAAGGGCACATCTTTTGTAAAGATTAAAATTAAGTGACACTCATTTAATTATCTCATTTTGCAAAGAAATCCTTTCTCCTCAAGATTTCCTCTATTATGTGTCTTGGCATTGCTCTTCTCGAGGTGTGTCTTTGTGGCGTTCTCTGTATTTCCTGAATTTGAATGTCGGCCTGCCTTGCTAGGTTGGGGAAGTTCTCTTCCAGGAGTGGAAACACTCCTGCAGAGTGTTTTCCAACTTGGTTCCATTCTCCCTGTCACTTTCAGGTACACCAATCAGACGTAGATTTGGTCTTTTCACATACTCCCATATTTCTTGGAGGCTTCGTTTCTTTTTACTCTTTTTTCTCTACACTTGTCTTCCCACTTCATTTCATTCATTTGATCTTCAATCACTGATACCCTTTCTTCCACTTGATTGAATCAGCTACTGAAGGTTGTGCATTCGTCACCTAGTTCTTGTGCCATGGTTTTCAGCTCCATCAGGTCCCTTAAGGACTTCTCTGCATTGGTTATTCTAGTTAGCCATTCGTCTAATCTTTTTTCAAGGTTTTTAGCTTCTTTGCAATGGGTTCGAACTTCCTCCTTTAGCTCGGAGAAGTTTGATCATCTGAAGCCTTCTTCTCTCAACTCATCAAAGTCATTCTCTGTCCAGCTTTGTTCTGTTGCTGGCGAGGAGCTGCATTCCTTTGGAGGAGAAAAGGCACTCTGATTTTTAGAATTTTCAGCTTTTCTACTCTGATTTCTCCCCATCTTTGTGGTTTTATCTACCTTTGGTCTTTGATGATGGTGACGTACAGTTAGAGTTTTGGTGTGGATGTCCTTTCTGTTTGTTAGTTTTCCTTCTAACAGTCAGGACCCTCAGCTGCAGGTCTGTTGGAGTTTGCTGGAGGTCCACTCCAGACCCTGTTTGCCTGGGTATCACCAGCGGAGGCTGCAGAACAGCAAATATTGCAGAACAGCAAATGTTGCTGCCTAATCGTTCCTCTGGAAGCTTCGTCTCAGAGGGGCACCCAGCCGTATGAGGTGTCAGTCGGCCTCTACTGGGAGGTGCCTCCCAGTACCCCACTTGAGGAGGCAGTCTGTCCATTCTCAGATCTCAAACTCCGTGCTGGGAGAACCACTACTCTCTTCAAAGCTGTCAGACTGGGACGTTTAAGTCTGCAGAAGTTTCTGCTGCCTTTTTTTCAGCTATGCCTTGCCCCCAGAGGTGGAGTCTACAGAAGCAGGCAGGCCTCCTTGAGCTGTGGTGGATTCCACCCAGTTCGAGCTTCATGGCTGCTTTGTTTACCTACTCAAGCCTCAGCAATGGCAGGCACCCCTACCCCAGCCTCACTGCCACCTTGCAGTTCGATCTCAGACTGCTGTGCTAGCAGTGAGTGAGGCTCCATGGGCATGGGACCCTCCAAGCCAGGCACGGGATATAATCTCCTGGTGTGCCGTTTGCTAAGACCGTTGGAAAAGCGCAGTATTAGGGTAGGAGTGACCCGATTTTCCAGGTGCCGTCTGTCACGGCTTCCCTTGGCTAGGAAAGGGAATTCCCTTACCCCTTGTGCTTACCAGGTGAGGCAATGCCTCGCCCTGCTTCTGCTTATGCTCGGTAGGCTGCACCCACTCTCCTGCACCCACCGTCCAACAAGCCCCAGTGAGATGAACCCAGTATCTCAGTTGGAAATGCGGAACATGGGATTGGAAAATATTTGAATGAATGCACACCTGAACCAGAAAGCGAGCTCAGCCAAGAGAGAAGTTCTGAGCTCACTACTTATGCTTCTGCAGGCACTTGCTGTCCCTAGCCATCCAGCAGTCGTTCTCACAGTGGCCATGATGTCCATGGGTTAAACACCACTTTGTCCCTGGTCGGAGAAGAATACAGACTCTTCTCGTTGAATCTGAAACCCAATCCTCCCTGCCTCAACAACTGCTGCCACAACTTTTAGCGGATTTAAAGGAAAGCAAAGAGAATCCAGAGCCTAAGAAGCATTGCCCACCCAATCTGCTCTTATATCAATGACTTCCCAGGGTCAGAAATTGTATATAATGGTTTTCTGTATTACACACTCATTGTTTTTGTCTTATGTTGTTGTTTCCTCCCTAGTCCCCACATTTGTCCCAGCCTTTATTAACTATGTTGTCCAATATGGTAATCATTAGCCACATGTAGCTGTTTAAATGTAAATGAATTAAAATTTAAAATTTGGTTCCCTAGTTAAACTAAACATGTTTGTTTTAAATGCTTAGTAACCACATGTAGCTAGTAGCTACTCTATTGGACAGTAGAATTTATAGAACATTTCTATCATCACAGAAAATTCGCTTGGACAGCACCCCTTATGTTAATTTTGGAGGATCATTTGGAGGATCATTTGGAGGATCACCAATATACTAAAAAACCACCGTGTGCCTGAACTTATACCAAGTACAAAGGATACTGCAGCAGTCAAGACACATGAAATTTCTGCCTTCCCAGAACTTACATTTTAATTTACAAAGCCTGTATCAAAGTGTCTGTGTATATCCACAGCTTAAGCCTGGAAACAGATGGCTAGTTGTTTATTAAATTTTAGACTCATCCCCACTCTGATTTCTTTGAGGTATAGCCAATTTTCTTCAACTTTTAGACCTGAATTTTAGACCTCTAATTAAAAAAAAAAAATTTATACTTTAAGTTCTGGGATACATGTGCAGAATGTGCAGGTTTGTTACATAGGTATACATGTGCCATGGTGGTTTGCTGCACCCATCAACCCATCATCTACAGTAGGTATTTCTTCTAATGCTATCCCTCCCCTAGCCCCCCACCACCTCCTGACAGGCCCCCGTGTGTGATGTTCCCCTCCCTGTGTCCACATATTCTCATAGTTCAACCCCTATTTATGAGTGAGAACACATGGTGTTTGGTTTTCTCTTCCTGCATTAGTTGGCTGAGAATGATGGTTTACAGCTTCAGCCATATCCCTGTGAAGGACATGAACTCATCCTTTTTTATGCCTGTGTAGTATTCCATGTTGTATATGTGCCACATTTTCTTTATCTAGTCTATCATTGATGGTCATTTGGGTTGGTTCCAAGTCTTTGCTGCTGTGAATAGTGCCGCAGTAAACATACATGTGCATGTGTCTTTATAGTAGAATGATTTATAATACTGTGGGTATATACCCAGTAACAGGATTGCTAGGTCAAATGGTATTTCTGGTTCTAGATCCTTGAGGGATCGCCACACTGTCTTCCAAATGGTTGAATTAATTGACACTCCCACCAATGGTTTAAAAGCGTTCCTATTTTTCCACGTCCTCTCCAGCATCTGTTCTTTCCTGACTTTTTAATGATCACCATTCTAACTGGCATGATATGATATCTCATTGTGGTTTTGATTTGCATTTCTCAAATGACCAGTGATGATGAACTTTTTCTCGTACGTTTGTTGGCTATATAAATGTCTTCTTTTGATAAGTTTCTGTTCATATCCTTTGCCTACTTTTTGATGGGGTTGTTTTTATTTCCTTATAAATTTGTTTAATTCCTTGTAGATTCTGGAGCCCTTTGTCAGATGGATAGATTGCAAAAATTTTCTCCCATTCTGTAGGTTGCCTGTTCACTCTGATGATAGTTTCTTTTGCTGTGCAGAAGATCTTTAGTTTAATTAGGCCCCATTTGTCAATTTTGGCTTATGTCGCCATTGCTTTTGGTGTTTTAGTCACAAAGTCTTTGCCCATGCCTATGTCCTGAATGGTATTGCCTAGGTTTTCTTCTAGGTTTTTATGGTTTTAGGTCTAAAACTTAAGTCTTTAATTCATCTTGAGTTAATTTTTGTATACGGTGTAAGGAAGGGGTCCAGGTTCAGTTTTCTGCATATGGCTAGCTAGTTTTTGCAACACCATTTATTAAATAGGGAATTCTTTCCCTATTGCTTGTTTTTGTCAGGTTTGTCAAAGATCAGATGGTTGTAGATGTGTGGTATTATTTCTGAGGCCTCTGTTCTGTTCCATTGGTCTATATATCTGTTTTGGTACTAGTACCATGCTATTTTGGTTACTGTAGCCTTGTAGTATAGTTTGAAGTCAGGTAGCATGATGCCTCCAGCTTTATTCTTTTTGCTTAGGATTGTCTTGGCAATGTGGGCTCTTTTTTGGTTCCATATGAAATTTAAATTAGTTTTTCTAATTCTGTGAAGAAAGTCAGTGGTAGCTTGATGGGGATATCATTGAATCTATAAATTACTTTTGGCAGTATGGCCATTTTCATGATATTGATTCTTCCTATCCATGAGCATGGAATGTTTTTCCATTTGTTTGTGTCTGCTCTCATTTCCTTGAGCAGTGGTTTGTAGTTCTCCTTGAAGAGGTCCTTCACATCCCTTGTAAGTTGTATTCCTAGGTATTTTATTCTCTTTGTAGCAATTCTGAATGGCAGTTCACTCATGATTTGGCTTTTTGTTTGTCTATTTTTGGTGTATAGGAATGCTTGTGATTTTTGCACGTTGATTTTGTATCCTGAGACTTTGCTGAAGTTGCTTATCAGCTTAAGGAGATTTTGGGCTGAGACGATGGGGTTTTCTAAATAGACAATCATGTCATCTGCAAACAGAGACAGTTTGACTTCCTTTCTTCCTATTTGAATACTCTTTTTTTCTTTCTCTTGCCTGACTGCCCTGGCCAGAACTTCGAATACTATGTTGAACAGGAGTGGTGAGAGAGGGCATCCTTGTCTTTGTGCCGGTTTTCAAAAGGAATGCTTCCAGCTTTGGCCCATTCTGTATGATATTGGCTGTGGGTTTGTCATAAATAGCTCTTACTATTTTGAGATACGTTCCATTAATTCCTAGTTTATTGAGAGTTTTTAGCGTGAATGCGTGTTGAATTTTTGTCACAGGCCTTTTCTGCATCTATTGAGATAATCATGTGGTTTTTGTCATTGGTTCTGTTTATGTGATGGAGTACGTTCATTGATTTGCATATGTTGAACCAGCCTTGCATCCCCGGGATGAAGCCGACTTGATCATGGTGGATAAGCTATTTGATATGCTGCTTGATTAGGTTTGCCAGTATTTTATTGAGGATTTTCGCGTTGACCTTCATCAGGGATATTGGCCTGAAATGTTCTTTTTTTGTTGTGTCCCTGCCAGATTTTGGTATCAGGATGATGTTGGCCTCATAAAATGAGTTCGGGAGGAGTCCCTCTTTGTCCATTGTTTGTAATAGTTTCAGAAGGAATGGAAGCAGCTTTTCTTTATACCTCTGGTAAAATTCAGCTGTGACTCCATCTGGTCATTGGCTTTTTTGGTTGGTAGGCTATTAATTACTACCTCAGTTTCAGACCTTGTTATTGGTCTATTGAGGGATTTGATTTCTTCCTGGTTTAGTTTTGGGAGGGTGTATGTGGCCAGGAATGTATCCATTCCTTCTAGATTTTCTAGTTTGTTTGTGTAGAGGTGTTTATAGTATTCTCTGATGGTAGTTTGTATTTCTGTGGGATCAGTGGTGACTGATCCTCTCTATCATTTTTTATTGTACCTATTTTATTATGCTCTCTTTTCTTTTTTATTAGCCTGGTTGGCAGTCTAGCTATTTTGTTAATCTTTAAAAAAAAAATAGCTCCTGGATTCATTGATTTTTTTTTGAAGGGTTTTTCATGTTTCTATCTCCTTCAGTTCTGCTCTGATCTTAGTTATTTCTTGTCTTCTGCTATCTTTTGGATTTGTTTGCTGTTGCTTCTCTAGTTCTTTTAATTGTGATGATAGGGTGTCAATTTTAGAGCTTTCCTGCTTTCTCCTGTGGGCATTTAATGCTATAAATTTTCCTGTAAACACTGCTTTAGCTGTGTCCCAGAGATTCGGGTACATTGTGTCTTTGTTCTCATTGGTTTCAAAGAATTTATTTATTTCTACCTTAAATTTGTTATTTACCCAGTAGTCATTCAGGAGCAGGTTGTTCAGTTTCTGTGTAGTTGTGTGGTTTTGAATGACTTTCTTAATACTGAGTTCTAATTTGATTGCACTGTGGTCTGAAAGACTACTTGTTATGATTTACATTCTTTTACATTTGCTGAGGAGTGTTTTACTTCCAGTTATGTGGTCAATTTTAGAATAAGTGTGATTTGGTCCTGAGAAGACTGTATATTCTGTTGATTTGGGGTGGAGAGTTCTGTAGATGTCTGTTAGGTCCACTTGGTCCAGAGCTGAGTTCAAGTCCTGAATATCCTTGTTAATTTATTGTCTCATTGATCTGTCTAATATTCACAATGGGGTGTTAAAGTCTCCCGCTATTATTTTGTGGGAGTCTAAGTCTCTTTGTAGGTCTCTAAGAACTTACTTTATGAATCTGGGTGCTCCTGTATTGGGTGCATATATATTTAGGATAGTTAGCTCTTCTTGTTGCATTGATCCCTTTACCATTGTGTAATGCCCTTTTTTTGTCTTTTTTGATCTTTGTTGGTTTAAAGTCTGTTTATCAGAGACTAGGATTGCAACCCCTGCTGCTTTTTTTTTTTCTTTCCATTTGCTTGGTAAATCTTCCTCCATCCCTTTATTTTGAGCCTATGTGCGTCCTTGCACATGAGATGGGTCTCCTGAATACAGCACACCAGTGGTCTTGACTCTATCCAATTTGCCAGTCTGTGTCTTTTAATTGGGGCATTTAGCTGGTTTACATTTAAGGTTAATATTGTTATGGGTGAATCTGATCCTGCCATTATGGTGCTAGCTGGTTATTTTGCCCATTAGTTGATGCAGTTTCTTTGTGGAGTGGATGGTCTTTATAATTTGGTATGTTTTTGGAGTGGCTGGTACTGGTTTTTCCTTTCCATATTTAGTGCTTCCTTCAGGAGCTCTTGTAAGGCAGGCCTGGTGGTGACAAAATCTCTCAGTATTTGCTTGTCTGTAAAGGATTTTATTTCTCCTTCGCTTCTGAAGCTTAGTTTGGCTGGATATGAAATTCTGGGTTGAAAATTCTTTAAGAATGTTGAATATTGATCCCCACTCTCTTCTGGCTTGTAGGGTTTCTGCTGAAAGATTGCTGCTAGTCTGATGCACTTCCCTTTGTGGGTAACCCGACCTTTCTTTCTGGCTGCCCTTCACATTTTTTCATTCTTTTCAACCTTGGTGAATCTGATGACTGTATGTCTTGGGGTTGCTCTTCTCAAGGAGTATCTTTGTGGTGCTCTCTGTATTTCCTGAATTTGAATGTTGGCCTGTCTTGCTAGATTGGGGAAGTTCTCCTGGATAATATCCTGAAGAGTGTTTTCCAACTTGGTTCCATTCTCCCCGTCACTTTCAGGTACACCAATCAAATATAGGTTGGTGTTTTCACATAGTCCCATATTTGTTGGAGGCTTTGTTCATTCCTTTTCATTCTTTTTTCTTTAATCTTGTCTTCACAGTTTATTTCATTAAGTTGATCCTCAATCTCTGATATCCTTTCTGCTGCCTGATCAATTCAGCTATTGATACTTCTGTATGCATCACGAAGTTCTCGTGCTGTGTTTTTCAGCTCCATCAGGTCATTTATGTTCTTCTCTAAACTGGTTATTCCAGTTAACAATTCCTCTAACCTTTTATCAAGGTTCTTAGCTTCCTTGCATTGGGTTAGAACATGCTCCTTTAGCTCGGAGGAGTTTGTTATTACCCACCTTCTGAAGCCTACTTCTGTCAATTTGTCAAACTCGTTCTCCATCCAGTTTTGTTCCCTTGCTGGCGAGGAGTTGTGATCCTTTGGAGGAGAAGAGGTGTTCTGGTTTTTGGAATTTTCAGCCTTTTTGGGCAGGTTTTTCCTCATCTTTGTGGATTTATCTACCTTTGGTCTTTGATGTTGGTACCTATGGATGGGATTGTTGTGTTGACATCCTTTTTGTTGATGTTGATGCTATTCCTTTCCGTTTGTTAGTTTTCCTTCTAAGAGTCAGGCCCCTCTGCTGCAGGACCATTGGAGTTTGCTGGAGGTCAACTCCAGATCCTCTTTGCCTGGGTATCACCAGCAGAGGCTGCAGAATAGCAAAGATTGCTGCCTGTTCCTTCCTCTGGAAGCTTTGTCCCAGAGGGGCACCCACCAGATGCCAGCTGAAGCTCTCCTGTATGAGGTGTCTGTCGACCCCTGCTGTGAAGTGTCTCCTAGTCAGGAGGCACAAGTGTCAGGGACCCATTTGAGGAGGCAGTCTGTCCTTTAGCAGATCTTGAGCACTGTGCTGGGAGATCCACTGCTCCCTTCAGAGCTGGCATGTAGGAACACTTAAGTCTGCTGAAGCTGGGCCCACAGCCGGCCCTTCCCCCAGGTGCTGTATCCCAGGGAGATGGGAATTTTATCTATAAGTTCCTGACTGGATCTTCTGCCTTTCTTTCAGACATGCCCTGCCTAGAGAGGAGGAATCTAGGGAGGCAGTCTGGCTACAGAGGGTTTGCGGAGCTGTGGTGGGGCTCTGCCCAGTTTGAACTTCCCAGTGGCTTTGTTTACAATGTGAGGGGAAAAACCCGCCTACTCAAGCCTCAGGGCCCTGGTGTTGCGAAGACCATGGGAAAAGCATAGTATCTGCATTGGAATGCACCGTTCCTCAGGATACAGTCCCTCAAGGCTTCCCTTAGCTATGGGAGGGAGTTCCCTGACTCCTTGCACTTCCCAGGTGAGGTGACGCCCCACCCTGCTTCTGCTTGCCTTCCATGGGCTGAACCCACTTTCTAACCAGTCCCAGTGAGGAGCCAGGTACTTTAGTTGGAAATGCAGAAGTCACCCGCCTTCTGCATTGATCTCACTGGGAGCTGCAGACCAGAGCTGTTCCTGTTTGGCCATCTTGCCAGCCCTCCCCTGGACCTCTGATTTGAGCTGATTTGTCAGGCGAAGTGGCTTACATGTTTGATTTACCTGTAAGTATTGGCTATCATCGTAAAGTTTTTTAGGTTCTGGATGAGAGGTTTATTTGAAAGTAGTTGTTCCAGGATTTAATTATTTAAATCAATTCTGACTGCCTTTGTTTAGAATTTTAATTCAGTGAAAGGTCTAGTTCTTAATGGTTATATGTAACCACAACAGAGACAAGAAATTCATTGCAATTAAATTGTTGGTTTTCCTCACACAAAGCTCATGTTTTAATGCTCCCCTCCATATGGGGGTCAATCATATAGCATTAACATTAATAGCCTAATAAGTCTAATAATGAAGATGTGTAGCATGTTAAAATTAGCCATTAGAATTCAAACATACCACACTCAATGCATGCAACAAGATCCACAAATGCCAACACTACCCATCTGTTTGAACTAATGAGCTGTAAACATTTCCCCCACTGGTGAACTAATAAATTATAGCATGTTACAATTGAAAGGGACCTTGGAGATAGATCTTTCTGTTCCAGCTACCTCTTTCTTCATTTTGTTGGTCCTATATAAAGGTATATTATTTATCCAAGGTCACAGTTGTACAGTAAAACCCTGCCATGGCATAATAGGCCCAGAAATTCCTGTGTGTAAAGCAGGGGTTCCCAAACGTTAGTATACATCCTGGAGAGCTTGTTGAAGCACAGATTACTGGGCCCCACCCTTAGAGTTTCTGATTCAGTGGGTCTGAGGTAGAACCTGATCATTTTCATTTCTAACAAGCTCCTGGGTGCTGCTTGTGGTCTGAGGACCAAACTTTGAGAACCACTTGTGTAGACCACGTGGTAACATTACTGTGAAGTTAATGGAATGATGAAAGCCAGCCTACATAGTTAGCCAGCCTTGAGTTCTGAGGATCTAGCTGCAGGAGCCAGATCTATCCAGGTGTAAACTTGGGTTTGCCACCATCTAGTGTTAGTCATCTAAAGCTGTGTAAACATTGATGGGGATGATTCTGGATCCTGTAGCTGGCTGGGGCTTCCAGCTATCCCATGGTTAGTAGGCATTTATTTCTTCTATTGATTTGGGAAGATTGTGCTTTGGGGACCCAGCTCCCATCTTGCTGATTTCCAACTACCACCAGCTACTTCCCTGTCAGTCTTGTCCTCTCCTGAATATATTCTCCCCTCCTCTAGAAGACAAGAACATTGGCCCAACTCTTTCAGAAGCTGGAGAGCCAGTCACATTACATCCAAAACTGTATTGGGGAAGGCTTTTACAGCAGCCAGTGGTAGATCTCCTGTTGTTTAATGTACTCATTCTCAAACTCCTGCCTCACTGTCTTACCTCTGTGCCTTTGCATTTTCCATCACTCTTAACCTTCAAGGTTTAGCTGAATTTCCACCTCCTTCAGAAACCTTGTCTTCCTACTCTAGAAGATAACAACTTTTCTTTTAAAGAGAAAATAGGGCATGATTCTGGTACTTTTGCGTTCCAGACTTTGTGTGGATGTTCGTGTCATTTTATTCTCAAAACTATCTTGCAGTATAGACGTTGTACCCATTTTATTGATAGTAATGCTGAGACTCAAGAAGGGTAAGGCTTTTAAGAGACAGGGTCTCACAGTTGCCCAGGCTGAAGTGCAGTGGCACAATCATAGCTCACTGAAACTTCAAACTAGCTCAAGGGATCCTGCTGCCCCAGCCCCTTCTAAGTAGCTCTGACTATAGACACAGGCCACCACACCTGGCTAATTTTTTTTTTTTTTTTAAGGAATGGGGTTTTGCTATTTTGCCAAGCTGGTCTCAACTCCGGCCTCAAGCAGCCTTCCTGCCTTGGCCTTCCAAAGACCTGGGATTATAGGCATGAGCCACCATGCCTGCCCCATTTTCTAATTTGTTAGAATATAATTTGCTATGATATACCTTGTCTAATACAAGTGCATTAGACAAATACATAGGCAAAGCTGTCTATAGAGTGGTTTTTGACAAGATAGTCTCTCTCCATGCCATGCTGCAAGCTCTTAAAGATGGGGAGCATGTCTCATTTGTTTTTATTCTCAGCCCCAGCCCCTCCTATTAGCACAGTGCATGTTAAGTTGTGGCACTCAGTATTTTCCAAAATGGATCTCCTGGCTTACTGCTGTGTATACTGCATCTTCCTGCCCCGCTTCTCTGTGCAGTTGGCTATGGTCCCCAGCGGGGAAGGAGGTTCCTTTGGTGTAGTCTCTCCTCCATTGCCCCCACTCAGAATTTGCAGCATCAACTGTTTTCTCTCAGTCTATCTTCTCTATGAATGCCATCTTCAGGAAAAGGAGCACTTTTCTACCCTGAGAATGAATGATTTAGAGATGAGGGTGGTTTCAGCTTCATGCCAAGCTCATAGTCTGGGGGTGGCTTCCCACACCCTCTTCACTTCCCTGAACCTCATCTCTCTCCTTTTCAGTCACTATCTCCTTATTCTTCAAGACATCCCTATGAATCAAGCAGTAGGGACAAGTGAGAGGCTTATCAGAGTTAGAGATTGGGTGAAAGATCACCAAAAGCTCATGTTGCTTAAAACTTGAATTGCATGAAAGGCATTGGATCCAAATGTTTAAGAAACACTGACTCACTCCTTTGCTGTTTTGAATATAACTTGCAAATGTGGTTTCATTTATCATCCCACTTCCTCCATCTCTCGTAAAACTGTCACTTTCAGGGAAGAGAATAAGTGGGCCTGGCCTCACTGTGGCTCTAGTACTCTCTGAGGATGGAGTAAGGATTCCTGGTTCTCAACCCAACTATACAGTAGAATCACTTGGAAGCTTCCTACATTCCTTCAGGGAGTCTGATTTCCTTAATCTGGGATGTAGCATGGCATAAGCATTGCTGTGTTCCTCCATTGTTCTAGTGTTCAGTCATTGTTCTAGTGTTCACTCAGCATTAAGAACTGCTAGATTAGGTTTTTGGATTCCAAGACTTGCTGATCATAATAGCCATATTGGGAGCCTTTTAAAATTTCTCCATCCCATAACCTGGGAGTCAGAATTTCTAAGGGAAAGACCTAGGGATATATGTTTGAAGTAGATTCTGGCCATCAGCTAGTTTGGGAAATTACCAATCTTGGTACTTTCAGATATTTCTTCTAGCCTTCCAGTCATCAAAGCAAGGTAGAATTATCAACATAATGATATAAAGCTATTGTATTATTTTATGCATGCTTCCTGGAGCAAGACATAAAGATAAAACTCATTCAAAATGTTCGGAATATCATGAACTTCACTGTGGGACTAAGCATTCCTGCACAAGTCCAAACAGTGAACTTAATTCATACTCTTCAGATGATAGCTGTGTCTGTTTAATATTGGCCCAACCTACTCTTGCTCACGTATTTTCCATTTCACTGTAATTTTTATTCCAGCTGTATATTCAACAGACTGCCTGCCAACCCTGTGGAACCACTTGACATAAATGATGTATTTTGAAAGATTAAACCAGAAACACGTATTAAAACCATCTTTATACTAGCTTAAGACTTAAAGAAGTTTTTATGTGGATTCAAGTGGAATGAGAGGAACTAAGAACGGGGAATGAGGCCCCAGAAAAGCAAATTTGAGGTTAAAGGTAAAAATTAAAATTAACTAATTTTTAATCAACATGCCACTTGGTAGCAAAAAATTAAAATTTATTAATGACTATAATATTATGAATAATTTCACATGCTGAAGTGTATTGCCTCTTCAAAGCATGCCTCTTGGGTTTAAATGTTCTTTTCACATGTAAAACGTTCTGGTAAGAACTGTGCCTACTTTCTATGACCTTACCTCCCTTTCTACTGTAAAAACATCAGCACATCTTTCAGGAAAATTGACTGCTGCCCAAAGGAAATACACATAATTTTTAGGTCCCTGAATTCAATTTCTGAAGATATTTTTCAGGCATTGCAAAAGAAAAAAGAAAAATGAATGAGTTTGCTGTGTACAAGAAATAATCTTTTTCATAAGCAGTGCAGTCAAAATGATAGAACATGCTCCTTTAGTATTTGGCATCTCTACAATATCATTTAATTCCCTGACCTCAATATTCAGTCTTTAACACCAAAACCATAAAAAGGGAAGTATGATACGTATTCTTCACCCTGCACAAGCAACTTCCTGTCTCCTCAAAGGAGATAAATGATCCTAATTCACTTTAATGCCGGAAGAAGGAGGTTCTGTGTCATTCTAATAAGCCTCAAACTCCTGGTACTATTTTTACCCCATTGCTGACCTCAGTGGCTGTGGAGAGCAGAACACCCTCCCTCAACAAATGCAAATAGACTCCAGCAGCCTTTCTTGAGGAGCACTCAAGCAATTACTTCTGAGTCCTCAAGTAGAATTCACATTAATTGATTCCCTTTTGTAGGCTTTTCCTTAGCAGGAGATTTAACAGTTTTTCTCTTTTGTTTGGAATTCTGCATCTTGGTGGAACTGACAACCTCCTTTATTTTATTTTATTTTATTTTTTAGAAAGGGAAATATGAAAGAGAAGAGCAGAAAGGAGCTCTATTACAGGTGGGATTTTTTTCCCCCTTGAAAATATCCTGAGTGATAGCCTAGACTCCAGGCTGGCTGGAGGACTTGCAGAATGCAGGGAGGGATCTGCTCTGCCTCCTGCCTCAGTATAAATCCCTCCAGGGACAGGCACTCTGCTCCTCAGTTTTCTAGAAAAGTGCCCATGTACATTTCTGAATTATGAAAGCCTCTCTAAATCAGGAATTACACAGTCCTCTTTCATCTGGCTTGTAGTCTTGGCCTACATGAATTAATTGTCAGCATTTTAAAATAGGGAAATTCCATCTAAATATCCGGATTTCTGACTTTTCTTAAAAACTTAGGAGAAAATTTTTGAGAGAATTTTCTGTTTTCTTAAGAAAAACAATAGAAAAGATCTGTTTGGTGTGAGTCAAAAAACCACTATTCCCATTTGTTTTCTAGTTCATTATACTCCCTGTAATCTCACAGAACTGCCACAAAGTGACAGTTATTGTAATTGTACCCACACTGTTGATCATAAGTTCAGAGGACAGTGAAATATTTCTTGTACAAAGTATAAAAATTTAAAAGATAGACTAGGACTAGCACAGATTTCAAGGAAAATGAGAGAGAACGGCCAGGCATGGTGTCTCATGCCTGTAATCCCAGTACTTTGGGAGGCCAAGGCAGGTGGATCACCTGAGGTCAGTAGTTCAAGACCAGCTTGGGCAACATGGCGAAACCTGTTTCTGCTAAAAATACAAAAATCAGTCAGATATTGTGGTGCATGCCTGGAATCCCAGCTATTCGGGAGGCTGAGGCATGAGAATGGCTTGAACTCGGGCGGCGGAGGTTGCAGTAGGGCCGAAATTGCACCACTGCACTCCAGCCTGAGTGACAGAGGGAGACTCTGTCTCAAAAAAAAAAAAAAGGAAAAAAAAAAAGAAAGAAAGAAGAGAAAGAAAATGAGAGAGAACAACTGTTTCTTTATGGAAGTGAAGGATATTCCTGCGTTTAATATGCAAAGCATCTGTATCAAAAGAATTTGACTAAAAATGCCATTATAACCCAAACCCAGCCCTGTGGACACATGCATTCATTTGTGACTTATGCTATAAAAAAGCCTGAGAGACATTCATATTTGCCTACCTGTTGCTCATGGAACAAGATGCTCAGGCCCTGAGATAACATGATGAATATTCATTCCTTCTGTTTTCCCAGTTCTGTCTCTTGCAAATAACCAAAAGCAGCATGTCTGTACACCATTATTAGCCCAGGAGAAAGGGAGAGACATATGATGTGCAAGACACATGGTAGGTGTTTTAGTACATTTAATTCCCTAGGAGTGCTCTAATTAGGTATCAGCCCCATTTAAAAATGAGAAAGTTGAGGCTCCAGAGAAATTAAGTAACTTACCCAAGGTCACAGAGCAAAGCTACTAAGTGGCAGGCCTGCCATTGTGCTTGCACTACTCATTGAAATGCTTTCCCTGAATTACTACTTAGCACAATGACTTTAGTTTTTATTGTGGGTTGATCAGGAGTAGCCAAACAAGAGTATTCTGTTCATATTCTATAAAACTGCTATTGAGGATGCTAATGTTTGTCAAAAGATCTGTCTAATGATCTTTTCTTTGCAGTGAGTGACAGATGAAGTTTGTGTTTCTGAACAAAATAAAAAATGTACTTCTGTTTATGTAGCCAGAAACAAATGATACTAGCTATCCTTTTTGCCTTCATTTCCAGGAAGCTCCAAGGGAAATGTATTGTCCCATTCCATCTTATGGTAAAATTAATCCTCCCTTTTGCCACATTGTTTTGGACCTTTCTTCCTGGAGTCATTATTGTGCTTTGGTGTGTTATTAATTCTGTTATTCAAGTTGCATCTAGTTGTAAGCTTCCTCAGATTCCTTTTAAAGAAGGCAGAAGTATAACTTATAAATAAGACCCTTAAAATTCAATTTATACCCCTAAGAGTAATTAATAAATCCAATTTTAATATGACACTAGATTTAACAGAAGGGGCTATTTGGGGAATGGCCCAAAAGCCTTTGGGTCATTTCTGGCTTCGGGGAATCACAATTAACAGAGACAACTCTCTCAAATTGAGCTCTGGCCCAGTTTGTCTTGCATTCTGCTACTGGGCGATAGTTGCTAACTTGCACAGAGAACTTACTGTGTACCTGGCCCTGGGCCAAGTGCTTGACATGCCTTGTCTCCATCTTTGCAGCAAGTATATCTAGTACCATTCTTACCCCTATTACAGGAAATTCAAGGATCAGAGCTCAAGAAACTAGTTTACAGGCACATAGATAATAGGTTTGATCTTGAGCAAAGACCTTGACTTCTTGGTGTCCATGTCCCCACCTGTAAAGCAGGCATATGCTCCTTTCTCAATCTCCTCACAAATCTGTGATGTTAGTCACTTCTGTCCTCCCCGCCCCCACTGCAAGGAACTAGATCCAAAGGAAGGGTTATATTCTATATCTCAACCTTCCTAGTCTTTTATTTTCCCTGAGGGTTCTCTCAGGCACGTTGGCCACCAACTTAATCGAATCTTCTCTTTTCCTAGGGAGACGGAAATCTCATGTTCTGTCTTTTCTAAGCTCTACTATTGGCCTAGGTTGTTGGTTATCATCACGCTTTGTCTCACAAAATATTTTAAATCTCAATTCAACTACAGTCAATTCTTGTTATTCATGTTAGTTACGTTATATAACCGGCATCCCCCAACCCCTGGGCCACAGACTGGTACCAGTCCATGGCCTGTTAGGAACCAGGATGCATTAGCAGGAGGTGAGCTGCAGGTGAGGGAGCATTACCAGCTGAGTTCCACCTCCTGTCAGATCAGTGGTGGCATTACATTCTCATAGGAGCAGGAACCCTATCGTGAACTGTGTGTGTGAGGGATCTAGGTTGCATGTTCCTTATAAGAATCTAATGCCAGATGATCTGAGGTGGGACAGTTTCATCCCAAAACCATGTCCCCCACCCCAGGTCTGTAGAAAAATTGTCCTTCTCGAAACTGGTCCCTGGTGCCAAAAAGGTTGGGGGCTGCTATTGTATATAGTCTCCATGAATGTTGAATTATCTAATTTGGAACCATTTCTCATAAGAGAAATAGAAGGTTAGTTTCCTTTGAGCCTCTCACAAACTTTTATCAACTGATCAGTATGTACCCTTCTTTTATGTGTTTCTGATTAAAGACACCTTATTTAGTATGTATTGTTGATTCACTAACATTGAGCTTATGGCCAACAGCACTGTAACTTATGCCTGAATGAAGCTAATCTACAGCATTTTCTGTAAAAGCTACATCACAACTTACTGTGCTTAGAAACACTAAACAGCATCTCAGCACTTTGCTTGCAAGCCATATTTAATAGTAAAATCACCAACACAAAAGCATAAAAATGTAAAAAAAAAAAAAAAAGCACTAAATAGTCCATGGAGAGGACATTTGTTTCCAGTAAAGAGCTGAAACAAGAAAGATGGAGCATCACCTTGTTCATCTTAAGCTGGGAATGTATGCGTTGATTGACTGAAATTTTTTGCCACTCTATGCGTGTCCACTAATGACCATGAAAGCATTGCAAGTATTTATTTTGGGATTACAAAGAAATTTTAGGGATATTAACCCCTTGCCTGTTATAAGTTGAAGAGTTTTTGTTTTTTTCATTTTTACTTTTGCTTTGTATTTTTACTGAATTTATATGTATAATAAAGTTTATCAGTCTTTTTCCTTATTGCTTTAGATTTTGAGTCAGAATTAGCAAAGCTTCTGTACTCACAAATAATAGTAGAATATACCTGTATTTTTTTTCCTAGTGCTTTTATGCTTTTTTACATTTAAATATCTGATCGATTTGGAATTTAAGTTGCGGTATGGTGTTTGGAATGAGTATAGTTTTACCATTTTCCATATTGCTCAACCAGTATCTCAACATTTGTTAAATGCTTATATTTTCCCCAACTGATTTGATATGCTGCCTTTATCAATCCTAAATTTTCATATATCATTGGGCCTACTCGTGTGCCAATATCAAATGCTTTATAGAGGCTTTAGAGTATGTTTTAGTATCTGATAAGGCCAGCAGTTGCCCCCACACCACCTTGTTTTTTTTTCCCCAGAGATTTCCTGGCTGTTCCTCCTTACTTGCTCTTCATGTACTTGTCATTTCAAGTCAATCTGCATATCAAATATCAGAGCTTTTCATTTGGCTCTTTATGGCTATTTTCTGACACCATAGACATTTTTAATTAGAACATTTTTAGTGTTCTATGAAATTGAGAAGTATTCCTTCTGACTCAGTGCAAGTGATATATGACTGTCCCACTTAAGCTTGAGAAGCAAGGTTCTATTAGGCTCACTCTCCTTAAGTAAGGTATGGTCCAGGTTACTCATATCCCTGTGTTTCTCTTGTGCTAATAATCAGTGAAGTCCCCACCTGTGCCACTATGTCATATGTGTGGTCAAATGCTTTCCCTTGCATATTTTTTATGGTGAGAACACTTAAAATCTACTCTTAGTGATTTCCAAGAATACAATATGTTATTATTAACTATTGTCACCATGTTATACAATAAATCTTTTGAATTTATTTGTCCTAACTGAAACTTTGTATCCTTCAAATAACGTCTCCCCAACTCCCTCTCCCCAAGCCCTTGGTAACCACCGTTCTACTCTGCTTCTATTAGTTCAACTTTTTTAGATTAAACGTATAAGTGAGATCGTATGGTAGTTGTTTTTCTGTGCTGGGCTTATTTCACTTACTATCTTCCAAGTTTATCCATGTTACAAATGACAGGAATTGCTTCTTTTTAAATGCTGAATGGTATTCCATTGTGTGTATATATATACCACAATTTCTTTAACCATTCATCTGTTGACAGATACTTAGGTTGATTTCATATCTTGACTGTTGTGAATATTGCTACAGTGAACATGGACGTGCATATCTCTACATACTGATTTCATTTTCCTTGAATATATACCCAGTAGTGGGATTGATGGATTATGTGGTAGTTTTAGTTTTTATTTTTTCAGGAACCTCGCTACTGTATTCCATAATAGTTGTACTAATTTACCTTCCGATCAACAGTGTGCAAGAGTTCCCTTTTCTTCACATCTTTGCCAAAATTTATCTTGGATCTTTTTGGTAATAGCCATTCTAACAGATGTGAGTTGATGTCTCATTGTGGTTTTGATTTGTATCTCTCTGTTGTTAGTGTACAGTGATGTTGAGCATTTTTTCATGAACCTCTGGACCATGGGTATATCCTCTTTTGAGAAATGTCTATTCAGTTTTTTTGCTCATTTTTTAATCTGGTTGTTTTCTTACTATTGAGTTGAGTTCTTTATATATTTTGTATATTAATCCTTTATCATATGCACAGTTTTCAAATACATTTTCCCATTCCATAGATTGTCTCATAACTCTGTTGATTGTTTCTTTTGCTGTATAAAAGCTTGTTTGTTTGATGTAATCTGATTTGTTTATTTTTGCTTTTGTTGCTTGTGCTTTGGGGTCATATCCAAAAAATCATTGACCAAACCAATGTCATGGAGATTTTCCCATATGTCTTCTTCTAGTAGTAGATTTACAGTTTCAGTCTTATATTTACATCTTTAATCTATTTGGAATTGAGTTTTATATATTGGTGACATAGTAGTCTAATTTCATTATTTCTGCATGTTGATATTCAATTTTCCCAATGCCATTTATTGAAGAGATTGTCCTTTCCCTGTTAATGTGTTCTTGGCATCTTTGTCAAAAATCAATTGGCCATAAATGCACAGATTTATTTCTGGGCTCTCTGTTCTGTTTCATAGGTCTGTTTTTATGTCAATACCAAACAGTTTTGATTACTATAGTTTTGTGGTGTATTTTGAAGTCAGGTAGTGTGATGCCTCCATATTTGTTCTTTTTGCTCAAGATTACTTTGGCTATTTGGAGTCTTTGTGGTTCATTACCAATTTCAGGATTGTTTTCTCTCTTTCTGTAAAAAATGTCATTGGAATTTTGATAGGAATTGCATTGAATCTGTATATTTCTTTAGTTAGTATGGACATTTTAACATTAATTTTTCCAATCCATGAACATAGGATGTCTTTCCATTTATTTATGTCTTCAATTTCTTTCATTAATAGTTTGTAGTTTTCTGTGTACAGGTCTTCCATCTTCTTGGTTCAATTTATTTCTAAGTATTTTTTTATAACTATTGCAAATGGGATTGTTTTATTGCTCTCTTTAGATAGTTTGTTGTTAGTGTATAGACATGCAACTAATTATGTGTGTTTGTTTCTTGTATTCTGCAACTTTACTGGATTTGTCAGTTTTAACAGTGTTTTGGTGGATTCTTTAAGGTTTTCTATATATAATATTATGTCATCTGCAGACAGAGACATTTAATTTTTTTCTTTCCAGTTTGGATGCCTTTTATTTCTTTCTCTTGCCTAACTGCTTTGGCTAGGACTCTAGTACTATATTGAATAGAAGTGACAGTAATGGCTTCTTTGTCTTGTTCCTGATCTTAAAGGAAAAGCTTTCAATTTTACATTGTTGCATATGTTAGCTGTGGGTTTGTCATATATGGCCTTTGTTGCATTGAGTTACTTTTATTGTATACTTAATTTATTGAGAGTTTTTATTATCATGTTAGGATGTTGAATTTTTTCAAACGGTTTGACTTTTGAAATGATAATGTTATTTTTGTTCTTCATTCTTTAATTAGTAGACTTGTGTATGTTGAAGCATCCTTGCATCTCTGGGATAAATTTCACTTAATCTTGGTGAATAATCCTTTTGATGTGCTGTTGAACTTTGTTTGCAAGCATTTTGTTGAGGATTTTTGTGTCCTATATTCATCAGGGATGCTGACCTATAATTTTCTTTTCCTGTAGTATCCCTGTCTGGCTTGGGTATCAGGGTAAGGCTAGCCTTCTAAAAATGAGTTGTAATTATTCCCTCTTCTTAAGTTTTTTTTGGAAGAGTTTGAGAAGGATTGGTATTAGTTCTTCTTTAAATGTTTGGTAGAGTTAAGTAGTTAAGTCATCAGGCCCTGGGCTTTTCTCTAATGGGAGACTTTTAATTACTGATTCAATTTCCTTACTTGTTACTGGTCTGTTCAGAATTTCTATTTCTTCATGATTCGCTCTTAGTAGGTTGTATGTCTCTAGAAGTTTATCCATTTCTTCTAGATTATTCAATTTGTTGGCATATAATTGTCCACAGTAGTCTGTTATGATCCTTTGTATTTCTGTAGTATTCATTGTAATGTCTTTTCTTTCATTTCTAACTTTGAGTATTCTCTTTTCTTAGTCTAGCTAAAAGTTTGTTGATTACCACCTCTCAGTTTCATTGATCTTTTCTATTGTTTATATGGTCTCTCTGTCATTTATTTATGCTTTGGCCTTTATTATTTCCTTCCTTCTAACTTTGGGCTTAATTTGTTCTTTTATTTCTATTTTGTTGATGTATGATGTTAGTTTATTTATTTGAAATATTCTTTTTTGATGTAGGCTTTTATTGCTGTAAATTTTCCTCTTAGAACCGCTTTTGTTTTGCATCCTTCAAGCTTTGGTGTAGTATGTGCTTATTTTCATTTGTCTCAAGATAATTTTTATTCTTCCATTTAATTTATTCTTTGGTTGCTCAGGGGCATGTTGTTTAATTTCTAAGTGTTTGTGAATTTTCTGAAATTCCTCCTGTTATTGACTTTTAGTATTATACTATTGTGGTTGGAAAATATATTTCATGTGATTTAGACCTTCTTAAACTTAAGACTTGTGTTATATATAGTCTATCCTGGAAAATGTTTTATGTGTGCTTGAGAAGAATGTGTATTCTGCTGCTCTTAGGTGGAATGTTCTATATATGTCTGTACCATTTGCTCTAAAATGTAGTTTAAGTCAATGTTTCTTTCTTAATCTTCTGTCTGGATATCCATCCATTGTTGAAAGTGGAGCCTTGAAGTCCCCTGCTATTATTAAGAGTCTATCCTTTCAGATCTATTAATATTTTTTATGTATGTAGGTGCTCCAATGTTGGATGCATATGTATTTATAATTGTTATATCCTCTTGATGAATTGAACCTTTCATCCTTATATAATGATGTTTTTTGTTTCTTCGGTTTTTTTTTTTTTTACGGTTTTTGACTAAAAGTCTTTTTTATCCGATAAAAGTATAGTTACCCTGCTCTCTTTTTATTTCTGTTTGCATGGATTATTTTTCCATCCCTTCACTTTCATTTTGTATGTGTCCTTAAAGGTGAAATGAGTCTCTTGTAGGCAGTATATAGTTGAGTCTTTTTTATTATTATTCATCCAGTCATTTTTTTTTTAAGAGATGAAGTCTCACTGCGTTGACCAGGCTGGAGTGCAGCAGCATGATCATAGCTTATTGTAGTCTCAAACTCCTGGGCTCAAGTGATCCTCCTGCCTCAGCCTCCTGACTAGCTAGGACTACAGGTGTGCACCACCATGCCCAGCTTATGTTTCTTGATTTGATAATGTAATCCATTTATAATCAAGGTAATTATTGATAAGGACTTTTTAGAAGGAGTTTATTCATTTATTCTACGTTATTCCACTTTTGAATAAAAAATATTCAAATAAATACATTTGAATAAATTTATGTATTTATTTACCTTTACTCTCACACTACTCAACACTTCTGACACCAAATGTGTGAGGGTATTTCCCTACACATGAAGCAATTCTCCCATGGACACCAGCTGAGTATCCTATAATTCAATTTTTAATTCTGACAGTAGCTACCTGGAGGTAGGATTGGATCCTACAGGTTAAGGGCTCAGTCCCACAAGACTGCTCCCTACTTTAGATGTCAATCAGAAGTAGTAGGTTGTCACCTATACTTCTGACCAACTGGCTGTAAATTGGGACCACCACTACCCTCTCCTTGGGTTTGATTAACTTGCTAGAGTGGCTCATAGAGCTCAGAAAGTGCTTTACTTACATGTACCAGTTTATTAATAAATGAAATAATAAAGGATACAGGTGAACAGCCAGATAAAGACATAAATAGTGTAAAGTCTAGAACAGTCCCAAGCATAGGAGCTTCTGTCCCTGTGGAGTTGGGGTATACCACCCTCTCAGCATATGGAAGTGTTTACCAACCAGTAAGCTCTCTAAACCCTGTAGTTCTTGGAGTTTTATGAAGGCTTCATCACATAGGCATGATTGATTAATTAACTCAATTTGTAGCTCCTCTCTTCTCTCTGGAGAATGTAGGATGGGGCTGAAAGCTGCAAGCTATATTCATGGCTTGATTTTTCTGGTGACCAGCCCCCACCCAGGAGCCCACCAAGAATTGCCTCATTAGAAAAAAAGATGCTCCTATCACTGAGGAATTCCAAGGGATTTAGGAACTCTGTGTTGAATGCTCCTATCACTCAGGAAATAACAAAGGTCATAGGGGCTTTGTGTCAGGAACTGGTGCCAAGACCAAATATTAGAACAAAAGATTCTCCTGGCACTCCTATCACTCAGTAAATTATAAGGAGTTTTGTGCAATGACTAGGAGAAGGGTCTAATACATATTTCTTATTATTTTACAGACTTACTACTGTCACTTTGTTAATTGTTTCATGGTTGTTTTGTAGATCCTTTGATCCTTTCTTCCTCTCTTGCTGCCTTCCTTTGTGATCAGGTGTCTTCCTCTAGTGGCATACATTGATTACATTGATTCCTTTTTTTTTTTTTTTTTTTTTTTCACTTTTGTGGCTCCACTATAGTATTTTGCTTTGTGTTTACCATGAGGCTTACATAAAGCAACTTATAAAAGCCTTTTTTCAAGCTGATAACAACTTAACTTTGATTGCAAAATAAACCTTTACAATTTTACTCCACTTCCCTATATTTTAAATTTTTGATGTTACAGTTTACATCTTTTATATTGTGTATCCTTCAACAAATTACCATAGCTCTTATTATTTTAATAGTTTTATATTTTAACCTCCATACTAAAGATAAAGGTGATTTACATACCACCATTATAGTATTAGAGTATTCTGAATTTGACTATGCACTTATTTTTACCAGTAAGTTTTATGCTTTCATATGTTTTCTTGTATTAATTAGTGTTCTTTTAGCTCAGAGAACTCCCTTTAGCAGTTCTTGTAAGACACGCCTGGTGGTGATGAACTCCTTCAGCTTTTGTTTGCCTGGAAAAGTCTTTATCTCTTCTTTATTTCAGAAGGACAGCTTTGCTGGTTTCAGGGGTTTTTTTGGCAATTTTTTTTTCCTTCAGTACTTTGAATATATCATCCCACTCTCTCTTCACCTATAAGGTTTCTGCTGAGAAACTGCAGCCTTTTTGGAACTCCATTTTATGTTATTTGCTTCTTTTCTCTTGCTGCTTTCAGGACCCAACAGTTCAATTATAATATATCATCTGTCTTGTTTCAATTGAATCTTATTGGAAGCCTTTGACCTTCCTGTACCTGGATATTTATGTCTTTTCCCAGATTTGAAAACTTTTCTATTATTTATTTTTAAACTTTGTGTTCCTTTGTCTTTTTCTTAACCCTCCTATAATTCAAATATTTGCTCTTTTGTTGTTGCTCCACTAATCCCATAAGCTCTCTTCATTCCTTTTTATTATTTTTTTCTCCTCTGACTATATATTTTCAAATAACTTGTCTTCAAGTTCACAAATTTTTCTTCTGCTTGACCATTTCTGTTGTTGATGCCTTCTATTGCATTTTTCATTTCTTTCATTGTATTATACTTTTCAGCTCCAGAATTGTCTACTTTGTTTTCTTGTTTTTAAATAATTTCAATTTCTATTAAATTTCTCATTTTGGTCATTTATTATTCTCCTGATTTTGTTGAATTGTTTCTCTGCACTTAACTTCCTTCATACAATTATTTGTACTTTTTTTTTCTCACTCTGTCACCCAGGCTGGAGCATGATTATGGCTCACTACAGCTTGAACTTCCCAGACGCAAGCAATACTTCTACCTCAGCCTCTCAAGAAGCTGGGACCATAGGCACACATCACCATGCCCAGCTAATTTTTAAATTTTTTTTGTAGAAATGGGGTCTTGCCTTGTTGCCCAGGCTGGTTATACAATTATTTGAATTCTTTGTTAGGCAGTTTATAAGTCTCTGTTTCTTTAGGGTTGGTCACTGGTGCATAATTTTATTCTTTGGTGGTGTCATGTTTCTTTGATTGTTCCTCATCCTTGTTGCCATGTGTTGGTGTCTGTGCGTTTGAAGAAATAGGGACTTATTCCAGTATTTGCAGACTTGCTTTGTTTGGGAAAGCCCTTTTTCAGTCAACCTGTCCAGAGATTCTGAGCAGGTCGTCTGATGTTGTCCATTAGCAGGCATGCTGTTGGAGTCTTCGGGCAGCCTGGCTTCATATCTCGGTCAGCAGGTGGTCAGCCTGGTACCCGAGTGTATGGAATTGAACCTGGAGCTTAAAACTACTGTAGTAGACCTGTTATTGGGTCTATAGGCATGGGCCTGGAGCATGGGTTGCAAGGGTGGGTTGTTTTTCCTTTATGCAGTGCTTTTGGATGTAACTCTGTACTTTCTTAGGATTTCATCCCCCAAATTGTTATCCTCGTAAATTATTCTCTGAGGGACCAGACTGATGTGATTAATATTTTCTATTATATGGTTGAAAGAGGCTTCTGATGGAATCTAACTGTGGCTTGCCATCTATCCAAAGCAGCGCAATTGACCCAAGAGATTCAGCTGAGAAACCATCATTAGAATAGTAAGTTAGTTCAGTAAGGTCACAAAATTAATGTCAGTCATTTTTATATAGAGGCAATTAGGAAATATAATGGAAACAGAAATTCTATCACTGTGAAAAAATAAATATAAAATGTCTAAAAGCTATAAAACTTGACAGGACTGTAGAACTTAAAGAAAAACACTGAAGCTCTACAAGAAGACCTAATTAAGATTAATTTTTAATAAATAGCCAAATGGTGCTTCTAGTTGGGATAGCCCTGTGTAACCCAGTTGATCCCAAATCTCCTAGATTTATAGGCTCAGTTGTTTTTGATAACTGAATAAGGTGAACCTGTTCCATGTATTATGGGAAGTCTGTCACTTTTTCAAAAATCTTTAAGAATTTCCAGAGACTACTGAAGGGCTTATAATCCCCTTGATCAATATATTAAACCACAACTGTTTCTCTCTTCTCTTGTTATTGATCATTTATTTATTCATTCATTCATTGTTTATTTACTAAGCATTTATTGAATGCCTACCACATTCTAAACGCTCCATAGATACCCACTAACCATTGCTGTGGCTCCTAAGGCTGCTGCCTCTGACTGCTTGTGGGTCGCCCTTGACTTGAAACATGGTCTCTTCTCTTTCATTGCCCCTGTCAAGCATCACTAATACAAGGCTGTTTTGTGTCAGACTTTTACTGAGGTTTTGACAATACTGGTTGTGGATGAGCATTGTGGAAAAGGAACACAGATGTAGCATATTGATACAGTTTGGCTGTGTTCCCACCCAAATCTCATCTTAAATTGTAGCTCCTATAATTCCCACATGTTGTGGGAAGGGGGACTCAGTGGAAGATAATTGAATCATGGGGGTGGTTTTCCCTATACTGTTCTCATGGTAGTGAATAAGTGTCATGAGATCCGATGGTTTTATAAGGGGAAATCCCTTTTGCTTGGCTCTTTTCTCTCTTGCCCGCTGCCATGTAAGATGTGCTTTTTGCCTTCCACCATGATTGTGAGTCCTCCCCAGCCGTGTGGAACGTGAGTCCATTAAACGTCTTTTTCTTTATAAATTACCCAGTCTTGGGTATGTCTTTATCAGCAACATGAAAGCAGACTAATACATATATAGTGTATATGTGCATAAAACAAGAAGCAATGAAAAATTAAATATTAGACATCTTAACATTCATGGGGCATCTCCTGTGGGGAATTTCTCACTTTATCCTTCATCCTTAGGTCCCACCTGCTACCATCTTTTGGAGTTGCCTCTCCTGTCTCAATATTTCTTGTGTATCGTCTCCTCAGCCTCTCTAATTTCTAGACCCTTTAACTCCTTTTTCCTAGCCATAGCCTCTGGAAACTCAAACCTCCTAATTTTTTTTTTTTTTTTTTTTGAGTTGGAGTCCTGCTCTGCCGCCTAGGCTGGAGTGCAATGGCGTGCAATCTTGGCTCACTGCAATCTCCACTTCCTGGGTTCAAGCAATTCTCCTGCCTCAGCCTCCTGAGTAGCTGGGACTACAGGTGCGTGCCACCATGCCCGGCTAATTTTTTGTATTTTTAGTAGAGAGAGGGTTTCATCGTGTTAGCCAGGATGGTCTCGATCTCCTGACCTCGTGATCCACCCACCTTGGCCTCCCAAAGTGCTGGGATTACAGGCATAAGCCACCGCGCCCAGCCCCTAATTAATTTTTGTGTAATGTAGAGCACTTTATCTTTCTTTTTCTTCCTCATACAAATCACACTGGTGGTGGGGGACGAATTTGCCTAGCCAAAAAAGTCATTGAGCTGTTGTACCCCCCTCCCCCAAAGAAGAACACTTCCCAGCCCCTGAAAGGAATTCTTCTGATTTCCAGAGCAATACGTTTTGGAATACTTATGTTCTTCCTCACCCTAGCTGGATTTTGATGAGATCAAGTCAGTCTCTCCCAAATTAATAAAGCAAATAGAAGGTAATTCTGACTATAATCCCAATGTACCTTTTCTGGATTTTAATAAAGTGATCTTAAAGTCAATTTTGGAGGGGGGTAAAAAAAAAGCAATCTCAAGTAACAAGTCTTTTTAAAAAGAGTAATAATATAGAACTCACTGTACAAGTGGTTTAATTTAAACACTTATTGTTCTAGTTGAAGAATGAGCAAACAGAAAAATATAAAACTTAATACAAAGTCCAGAAACAGATTGTTGATGAAAAAACCAAACTCCATAAAATATTTGAAGAGATTTCTTCTGAGCCAAATGTGAGGACCAAGACCTGCGACACAGTCTCAGGAGGTCCTTAGAACATGTGCCCAAGATGGTTGGGTTACAACCTCGTTTTATAAGTTTTATAAGACATCAGTCAATACATGTGAGGTATACATTGTTTTGGTCTAGAAAGGTGAGACAACTCAAAGCAAGGGCTTACAGGTCATAGGTGTATTCAAAGATTTTCTGGTTGGCAGTTTGTTGAAGGAGTTATTAATATTATTTGAAGACCTGGAATCAATAGAAAGGAGTGTCTGGGTTAAGATAATTGGTGGTGGAAACCAAGATTCTCATTATGCACATAAAATGGCTGCCCTTAGAGGTAATAGATTGCAAATGTTTCCTGTTCAGTCATTTAAAAGGTGCTAGACTCTCAGCTAATCTTTCCAGGATCAGAAAAAGACCTGGAAAGGCAAGGGAATTCTCTGCAGTATGTAAATTTCCTCTACAAGAGATAGCTTTGCAGGACCATTTAAAATATGTCAAAGAAATATATTTTTGGGTAAAATACTTTGATATTTTTCAGGGCCTGCTATCTGTCATGTGATGCTAAACTAGAGTCAGGTTGGAATTTGGTATCTTGTTACTACAAACAATCTGTTCTGTGAGTTCTAAGATCACTGTTTTAATGTTAATGCTGGTCCGTTTTGCTTCAAATCCAAAGGGAAGAAAGTATAATAAGGCATGTCTGGCCCCCACTTCCCATCATGGCCTGAGCTAGTTTTTCAGGTTTCTTTGGAATTCCCTTGGCTGAGAGGAGGGAGCCATTCAGTCAGTTGGGGTGCTTAGAATTTTATTTTTGGTTTATAATATCTAAGAATAGGAAAATATTTAGAATATAATAAATGAAATAAAAAATACTGGAAGTGTATTAGTTTGTTTTCACACTACTAATAAAGACATACCCGCGACTGGGAAATTTACAAAAGAAAGAGGTTTAATGGACTTACAGTTCCACATGGCTGGGGAGGCCTCACAATCATGGTGGGAGGCAAGGGAGGAGCAAGTCACATCTTATGTGGATGGTGGCAGGCAAAGAGAGAGAGCTTGTGCAGGGAAACTCCCATTTTTAAAACCATCAGATCTTGTGAGATTTATTCACTATCATGAGAACAGCACGGGAAAGACCCACCCCCGTGATTCAATTACCTGCCACCAGGTCCTTCCCACAACATGTGGGAATTCAAGATGAGATTTGGGTGGGGACATGGCCAAACTATATCAGGAAGAAAATATGCGCAAGTATTTATATAATCTTGGACTAAGGAAGGCCTTTCTTTTTTTTTTTTTTTTTTTTTTTGAGACAGAGTCTCGCTGTCGCCCAGGCTGGAGTGCAGTGGCGCAATCTCGGCTCACTGCAGGCTCCGCCCCCTGGGGTTCACGCCATTCTCCTGCCTCAGCCTCCCAAGTAGCTGGGACTACAGGCGCCCACCACCTCGCCCGGCTAATTTTTTGTATTTTTAGTAGAGACGGGGTTTCACCGTGTTAGCCAGGATGGTCTCGATCTCCTGACCTCGTGATCCGCCCGCCTCGGCCTCCCAAAGTGCTGGGATTACAGGCGTGAGCCACCGCGCCCGGCCTAAGGAAGGCCTTTCTAACCATGGTAGAGTGTCTGTGAGGTAGGTAGAATTCTTATTAAAAAAAACACTTGAAAACCTAGAATGTTATATAACATTGATGAGCCTTAAAAACATTATGCTGAGGCCAGGCATGGTGGCTCACACCTGTAATCCCAGCACTTTGGGAGGCTGAGATGGGCAGATCATGAGGTCAGGAGATCAAGACCATCCTGGCCAACATGGTGAAACCCTGTCTCTACTGAAAATACAAAAATTAGCTGGATGTGGTGGTGTGTGCCTATAATCCCAGCTTCTTGGGAGGCTGAGGCACGAGAATCACTTGAACCCAAGTGGTGGAGGTTGCAGTGAGCTGAGATCACGCCACTGCACTCCAGCCTGGCGACAGAGTGAGACTTCGTCTCAAAAAAAAACATAAAATAAAATGAAAACATTATGCTGAGTGGAAGAGCCAGACACATATGATTCTGTTTATATAAAATGTCCAGAATAGCCAAATCCATAGAGACAATAGATTAATGGTTGCCAAAGGAGGGGAAATTGGGGAGTGACTTATAGTAAACATGGTGATTTCATTTTTGAGTGATGAAAACATTCTGGAATTAGGTAGTGGTGATGGTTGGACAACTTTTGAATATATTCCCAATCACTGAATTGTATACCTTAAAGGCTGAATTTTATGTATGAGTTATATCTCAGTAAAAAAAAAAAAATTAAAGATAGATAGATAGTTCTACTTGGGATGTCATGAGAAAACAAAAAACCTGGCATGCTAGTAGAGAATTGTTAAAGAATGTAAATTTTAAAAATTTTATATACAAATGACCAATAAACATAAAATGCAAATTAAAACATTGAGACCGAATATTTGCCTCTCGGCAGAGATGAAATTATTAATTTCTTCCTTGGGTAGAGTGTAGTCTAATGATTATTCTAATATACTAGTATTGGTGAGGAGCAATTTGGTAATATATTTATTTCAAAAAGCCTTAATTTATGTCCTTCCATAATGTGTTTCCATTTCTAGGAATTTATCTTAAAGAAACACATTTGCCATGTAAAATAAAATTGTAAAGTAATAGTAATAACACAAAGCTATTTCTGCTGCTAAGGAGAAAAATTAAATTAAAAATTAAATATAAAATGAAACAGACCAATAGAAGTGCACATTCAAAAGGCTAAAGAGATACACTCTAAAATGTGAGCAGTAATCACCTCTTATTTGTGGGATTATGGATAATATATATTTTCTTGTTTATTTTTATCTGTATTTTCTGTTTACTTTTTCTAAATAATCCATACCAGAAGTATCCTTGTAATCAGAAAATAATAGAAAAGTTATTTAAAATAATACAGTTTCAAGTGTGGCGAAGCTTTCTGGCTTGTTTTTTGTTTGTTTTATTTGGGTGTTTGCTTGTTTTGTGAGCACCTTAGCAGAAATGAGATGAGAAAATAAATTTTTTGTTTCTCCTGTGATTACAGAGATTCATGAGAGATTCATAAAAAGTCTTCAATTCTGAACCCAGATTCTCACTAGCTACCCCTATGAGCTTCCTTCAGTGGGGTGTATAGTTTCAGGGTTCGACCAGTTGATTAGTTGGTAATTTTATAACATACACCATTGTAAATTAAACTGTGGTGTATTTATCCCAAGATTTTTTCTCTTTGAAATTGGGTAAGTTAGGCATTATAACCAAGATCCTATTGAGTGGAGTTATTTCTGATTTTTAAATTATGTTCCTCAGATGTAACAATTTTCTTCTCCCAATTTCCTAGACAGAATCATGAATAAACTGGAGGATAAGCAGGACCAGATGATACCATGAAGAGAAGTTTACAGGCCCTCTATTGCCAACTGTTAAGTAAGTTGACACTGTATTTCTTCTTTCCTAAAATATACTAATGTTATTATTTGCTGGGTACCCACAACTTACTTTTTGGACGGAGACCAGGGTTGGATCGGTGAAAGAGGACAGTAAAGTTTCACTCTGCTTCATCTAGATGAAGTATCAAGCGTTAAGTCATTCTAAGATCTCTGTTTTAATGTTAATGCTGGTCAGTTTTTCCTAAATTCCAAAGGGAAGTTTTAACATCAGTTATAGTTACAACTTGGACATCAGTTATAATTTAAACTCCATTATAATAATTCTAAATTGATGTATTAAGCATAGTTAATTTGGGAATGAGTGTCCAAAAACATTATTGCCTTTAGTTTAGTATTCTTCCAGGATGACCTGCTGTAGATTCCTCATGAAGAGGAAATGGTAGGTTGTATTTTCTGTATTTTAACACATAGAACCTGTTGCCATACAGCCTTTGGCTTAAAATGTTATGCATAGCTATACATGGTTCTCAAATAACAAGTGGTGAAAATGTGACTTCTTGGTTTTGTGGTGGAATAAAGAGTGTTCAATTATGACTTTCTTTTTGCACATCACTCATGTGTTTTGGGTATAGTGCCACAAAGCACCAATTGCCATGTAGTGATTGTACTTTCTTTGGGATTAGAATTGCTACTGAATGAATGTAAAAGCCAAAACCAATTGGTGGGTTTGATGTTCCAGTTAACCCACTTAAGACAATAGGCATTACCCGCTCCAGGTCAAACCAAAGCCAGTGAGTTGGAAAATTGGGAGTTATTGTTTGTCTTGTTCTTGCTAAGGTAAATGAAGTACCTATCTTTCCTAGGCTGAGTGGCTCCTTGTTAACTTTTGTTGAGAGAATAAAATGAAAAGATATTGAGATGCAAATCACCAGTCAGTCAGCCCTTAGAATTTAGTAATTCAGCTTATGTTGTACCCCCAGTGCAAAGCACTTCATCTACAGACAGCATTCTGGCCGGGCGTTTTAATTGACTCATTTCTTCTGCTGAATTCTAATCCCTAAAACACATATCACGTCAGCCTGTTTCAGCCTGGTGGAAAGTCGCCAAGTGTTATAGGGACTTTCTCATGTTCCTTTTCCATGTGTTCTATGGGACTGCCAGTTTGTTGCTTTTTAAAAAATGATAAGCTTGTTTGTTAAAGAATAGGCTTTAAAGATTAAAGAAGCAATGTCATCAAGGAATGATTAACTCTGCCTTGATGGGAGAGGAGACATATGAAGGATAAATAGGATTTTACATACACACATACACACATACCCCTCAGAGAAGGGTAGGAAGGCTTTGTAGCCAGAAAAACAGGAAATAAAGAACAACAGAGTAGATTTTGGAACAGCAAAATGTTTGTTGAGTTCACCTATGCCGATTGTATGCCCCAAAGTTTGCATAATATTTTAGGGTCGTATGTTATTTGAAAGGCATCAGTAAATTATCCTGCAGTCCAGAGAGACAAGACTTATCCTATGACGAGGTCCATCCTCTTATATTGAGCAACTCTGAATGCTGAAGGGGGTTCAAACATCATCTGGCTAGCTACAGAAAACGACTGTGTCTTAACACCTTGCTGTTTGCAAAGCTTGCTGGGAAATGCAAACAGTCCAGAATATGTAGTTTCCTGCTGGTTAGGAGGTAGGTAGTGGCCCTCACTAAACCACCCTGATTACTGACATGCATATACACACAATAGCTCCTATATGTCACTGGTCAGCCAGTTATTAAGTTATGTGTATGTTAACATTGTCCACAAACAGAATGTTTTTAAGACATTTAGTCTGTGTCTAAAATAGACTTGAGAACTAGCATCAACACACACAATATGTTATTTTATATAACTCATATATTTTATATAACTCATGATAAAAATATATATATTTTTAATTTGGATAAAAAATCATGATTGAGTATTCTGGTTTTTCATTATTACATAACAAACTAGTCTAAAACCTTGTGGCTTAAAGCAAATAACAGTTATTTATTTCGTTCATGAATCTGTAATTTGAGCAGGGCTTAGCAGAACCTACTGTCTCCACTGCAGAGTGTTTGGGACCTAGGCTGGAATGACTCTAATGGCTGAGGGCTCCCTGAGGTCATCTCACATGGAAAGTTTGGGCTCCCCCACAACATGGTGGCTTCAGATTGGTCAGAATTCTTATAAGGCAGCTACCAGTATGAGGCTTGGGCAAGGCTTAGAAGATTTATTATGAATTAATCTTGAAAGTCCCAGAATAATACGCATGCCACATTGTACTATCTGAGGAAGTAAGACCAACAGTAACTCAGGGGAAGAGGAATTAGGCTTCACTTCTCAAAGAAAAGAGGAGCAACAGCTTATAACAGTTATCTTTAGTCTGCTACAGAGAATATCTATTTGTTTAAAAAAACAAAAACAATTACTAGTGGACATTAGCCAGTTCATAAGTCATTATTAATATAGAAGCTATACCCTCCTTTGTGCCTACTATGTTCACAAGGATTTGCTGACAGTTTACCTAAGTCTCCTCAATTATTCCAGAGGCAGATGCTTCAAGATGAAGAAGCATTACAGATGGATAAGCAAGGACTGGCCCAGGGTGCTCAGTGAGTTCAGTTCACAGCCATGTCTCTCTGACCCCTGCATATGTGCCCTTTTCTTCATTCTGCCATGGTGCCCTACCACACACAGGAAAAATCAGCAGTGTGGTCCCTCTGCTGCCCTTATAGCTAAGATAGGGAGAGTTCTAGCCCATAAGCAGTAAAGTTTGCATCTTGCGAGTGATGTTAGATGAGTGCTGGGGTTTGGATATCTGATCCCTCCAAGTCTAATGTTGAAATTTTATCCCGTTTTGGAGGTAGGGCTAAATGAGAGGGGTTTGGGTCATGGAGGTGGATCTCTCATTAATAGATTAGTGCTCTCTCTGGGAGAAGGAAAGTGAACAAGTTCTAGCTCTTTTGTTACCTTGAGAGATGCCCCAAGAGCTGGTTGTTTGAAAGAATCTGGCACCTCCCTCTACCTTGCATCCACTCACTCACCATGTGATCTCTGCACATATTGGCTCCCCTTTACCTTCCACCACCAGTGGAAGCAGCTTGAGGCCCTTATCAGATGCAGATGCTGGTGCCGTGCTTCTTGTTTAGCCTGCAGAACTGTGAGCCAAATAAACCTCTTTTCTTTATGAATTACACAGCCTCAGGTATTTCTTTATAGCAACACTAAACAGACTAAGACAGTAAGACCAAAATAAAAAGATGTTCTTTAGATCACTGAATCATAATCAATAGTCACTGAGGCTTGTATGTGCCCAGCTGGGGCTAAGGGATGCAGTCTTTGGCAGGCAATGCTATTGAGGTTTTAATTGTTTACTTTTGTTACAACTGACTATCTCTGCCTTTGTTTTTATTTCCTGAGCTCTACTCAGGAATGTGGTACTGAGTGTTTCATCCCACTGGCTTTAGCCCTTTCAGAAGGTTTAACACATTTTACATGATATCTTGGAAAAGCTGAAAGCTTGAGTATGAGGGTGGTGATGAGAGCCTTTATGGTTATATAAAAACCAGATACTGTCATTCATTTTTCTTTCTGAGACCTAAATAATCAATTAGATGTTAAAGCTAGTCCTAAGAATACTTGTGTTTTTGAGACATCAGACAGGTTCAAATCCTAGGTTTACCACTTTCGTTTTTTTTTTTTTTAATTTTATTATTATTATACTTTAAGTTTTAGGGTACATGTGCACAATGTGCAGGTTAGTTACATATGTATACATGTGCCATGCTGGTGTGCTGCACCCATTAACTCGTCATTTAGCATTAGGTATATCTCCTAAAGCTATCCCTCCCCGCTCCGCCACCCCACAACAGTCCCCAGAGTGTGATGTTCCCCTTCCTGTGTCCACGTGTTCTCATTGTTCAATTCCCACCTATGAGTGAGAATATGCAGTGTTTGGTTTTTTGTTCTTGCAATAGTTTACTGAGAATGATGATTTCCAATTTCATCCATGTCCCTACAAAGGACATAAACTCATCATTTTTTATGGCTGCATAGTATTCCATGGTGTATATGTGCCACATTTTCTTAATCCAGTCTGTCATTGTTGGACATTTGGGTTGGTTCCAAGTCTTTGCTGTTGTGAATAGTGCCACAATAAACATACGTGTGCATGTGTCTTTATGGCAGCATGATTTATAATCCTTTGGGTATATACCCAGTAATGGGATGGCTGGGTCACATGGTATTTCTAGTTCTAGATCCCTGAGGAATTGCCACACTGACTTCCACAATGGTTGAACTAGTTTACAGTCCCACCAACAGTGTAAAAGTGTTCCTATTTCTCCACATCCTCTCCAGCACCTGTTGTTTCCTGACTTTTTAATGATCGCCATTCTACCTGGTGTGAGATGGTATCTCATTGTGGTTTTGATTTGCATTTCTCTGATGGCCAGTGATGATGAGCATTTTTTCATGTGTCTTTTGGCTGCATAAATGTCTTCTTTTGAGAAGTGTCTGTTCATATCCTTTGCCCACTTTTTGATGGGGTTGTTTGTTTTTTTCTTGTAAATTTGTTTGAGTTCACTGTAGATTCTGGATATTAGCCCTTTGTCAGATGAGTAGGTTGTGAAAATTTTCTCCCATTTTGTAGGTTGCCTGTTCACTCTGATGGTAGTTTCTTTTGCTGTGCAGAAGCTCTTTAGTTTATTTAGATCCCATTTGTCAATTTTGGCTTTTGTTGCCATTGCTTTTGGTGTTTTAGACATGAAGTGCTTGCCCATGCCTATGTCCTGAATGGTAATGCCTAGGTTTTCTTCTAGGGTTTTTATGGTTTTAGGTCTAACATTTAAGTCTTTAATCCATCTTGAATTAATTTTTGTATAAGGTGTAAGGAAGGGATCCAGTTTCAGCTTTCTACATATGGCTAGCCAGTTTTCCCAGCACCATTTATTAAATAGGGAATCTCTGAATTTTAGACCAATATCCTTGATGAACATTGATGCAAAAATCCTCAATAAAATACTGGCAAACCAAATCCAGCAGCACATCAAAACGCTTATCCACCATGATCAAGTGGGCTTCATCCCTGGGATGCAAGGCTGTTTCAATATACGCACATCAATAAATGTAATCCAGCATATAAACAGAACCAAAGACAAAAACCACATGATTATCTCAATAGATACAGAAAAGGCCTTTAACAAAATTCAACAACGCTTCATGCTAAAAACTCTCAATAAATTAGGTATTGATGTGACGTATCTCAAAATAATAAGAGCTATCTATGACAAACCCACAGCCAATATCATACTGAATGGGCAAAAACTGGAAGCATTCCCTTTGAAAACTGGCACAAGACAAAGATGCCCTCTCTCACCACTCCTATTCAACATAGTGTTGGAAGTTCTGGTCAGGGCAATTAGGCAGGAGAAGGAAATAAAGGGTATTCAATTAGGAAAAGAGGAAGTCAAATTGTCCCTGTTTGCAGACGACATGATTGTATATCTAGAAAACCCCATTGTCCTCTCAGCCCAAAATCTGCTTAAGCTGATAAGCAACTTCAACAGTCTCAGGATACAAAATCCATATGCAAAAATCACAAGCATTCCTATACGTCAATAACAGACAAATAGAGAGCCAAATCATGAGTGAACTCCCATTCACAATTGCTTCAAAGGGAATAAAATACCTAGGAATCCAACTTACAAGGGATGTGAAGGACCTCTTCAAGGAGAACTACAAACCACTGCTCAATGAAATAAAAGAGGATACAAACAAATGGAAGAACATTCCATGTTCATGGATAGGAAGAATCAATGTCGTGAAAATGGCCATACTGCCCAAGGTAATTTATAGATTCAATGCCATCCCCATCAAGCTACCAATGACTTTCTTCACAGAATTGGAAAAAACTACTTTAAAGTTCATATGGAACCAAAAAAGAGCCTGCATCACCAAGTCAATCCTAAGCCAAAAGAACAAAGCTGGAGGCATCACGCTACCTGACTTCAAACTATACTACAAGGCTGCAGTAACCAAAACAGCATGGTACTAGTACCAAAACAGAGATATAGATCAGTGGAACAGAAGAGAGCCCTCAGAAATAACGCTGCATATCTACAACTATCTGATCTTTGACAAACCTGAGAAAAACAAGCAATGGGGAAAGTTTTACCACTTTCTAGGTGACTTACCTTAGGTAAGTTACTTAAGCCTCTGTGAGCCCTAGATGTAAAATGGGATGTGATCACTCACTACCTGAGGTGGTATTGAATGAGATGACATGCCATATAGAAGTCCTACATAAATGCCAGCTTTCTTACTGGCCTTCCTGCCTGGAAAACATAAGGACAATCTAACCAGGAGCTCTGCTCTAACTAACATTTGTGTGGAACCTTCTGGTTCACAAAGCATTTTCCCATAATTTGGTCCTCACAACAACCTTGTAAGGCAAGTGGGGCATTATTATTGACCCTATTCTACAGAGAAAGGAATTGACATGATCAAGACTGCTTTTGCCAAGCCACATCACAATTTTTTGAAAAAGTTTTTAATAATGGAAGGTAAAGAGCGTCATCACAATCCCTGAAGACCATGCCACTGCTGAGGAGGGTCTGAATCTGAGTCTTGATTTAGCAGATGTGGTGTTTGCTTGGGTACTGTGTACTGGAAAATTGTTATGCTACTTTGTTAAGAAGACTAAGGCAATTATTATTTTATGAGAATATGATGTTTTTACATATCAATATCTATTCAAATCAGAATAGTTTAAATACTTAGAATTAAGCAGTGATTATGTTTTGTAACTTCAGTGTTTGCTATACACCCAGACATTTGAATTTCTTAAATCATGCTCTGTATTGTTACTCTAGTACACCCTGCTAGCTCATTCATGCACCCTTTGCATCTACTGGTCTGTGTCAAATCACACAAAGTAATTTTTTGTTCAACTCAGATAACTGTCTGTAGGTCCCTATCTTAGGAAAAGGAGGGGAAGAAGGAGAAAAAAGAACTACTGGTATGGATTTGGACCCCTACTCTATAGAATTTAGAAGGAAAATACACCCCCTTTTCTGCCATCTTTACCTGGGGCATGGAGATCATGTCTCAGTCTCAGATTTGAATTATATGTATGTATACGCACAAACACACACACACAAATCCATATTACCTGTCTGTAGATTTTTCTGGGCCTAATGAGAAGCTGCTTGGGAGTTCATTTCCACTTGAAACCTATTTTCTGATGGGATGATCTGCTTCTCATGTGATCTCTGGAACTGAGTGGAACCCTTGAAAACACTTTAAAGTGAGAGAACTCTCTTTGGTGCCTTTTCAACTCTAACCATTCCTTCTTGCCTACCAGCTACCCAGTGACTATTCTTTCTTCCAGTTACTTCTTAAACTAGAAGGATCCACATAACTATATCTTTTTCAAGAGACTGACATTTCCCCTCTCTTTTTCTTCTTCCATGCTTATTTTTGTCCCATATTAGACCCAAAGCCCCCAACATGCTACCTTCTCATCTCAGATGTCCTCCTGTGGTCTGTGATCTGAAGTTCTCATGTATTCCATTAAGATGGAAAGCAATTTGACTAAACTAAGTAATACCAAGATGTGCTTACTGGTTAAGGAGAGTTAAGGAGCTCCTCCCTCCTTAGCTGTCAGAGATATTTGCATTTTGAAGTGATTTGGTATTGTTTTAAACAGCATTGAGTACAGTAGTTTAAAGAGGTAAGCTTCCTAGGGTCTGCGCATTTGTCTGTGTCTCTCAGAGTCATGGGTCAGGAATCTGCATATTTCCCTTGCTGGCTCATTTCTTCTTCCTTTTTTTTGTCCAGCTAACACCAGAAATGATCTTCTTATGCTGTATGTACACCTTTGTATTATCACCATCCAACCAGATTTTGCAATCCCAAATACATGAAGCCATCCTTGACTTTCCTCCCACCCTACCCTGGATGCATTTGGATACTAGCAATACTAGCTCCTGTTGAACTTAACACATGAATCCATTCATGTCTCTGCATCCCCATTGTCTCAGCTTTAGAGAACAGCTTTCTATGTTCTTTCTGGACCATTTTAATAGTCCTCTGTTTATTGTCCTATTCTCAGGTCTTCTCCTTCTAATTCATCTTCACATTACTGCCAAATTAGCTGCTTGTCATCTGATAATCTTTCCATGGCTTTGCATTACCAAAAGCAGCAGTTCTCATAATGTGATCCAAGAATCCCTAGGGACCCCTGAGGCTTTTACAAGAAGTCTGTGAGGCCCTTCTTTTTCCAACTATACATATTTATAAAGCCAGATTTTTTTCCATGTACTGTACTTCAACCAAAATAACATATCTCAACAGATTGAATGCAGAAGCTGATAAGAGAACCAGCTGTCTTTCATAAGCCAGACACTAAAGAGATTTACAAAAATATAAAACAATGCCATCCTTCTAATTTTTTGTGTTAGCAAATGCTTTTTCATTAAAAATGCTATTTGTTAAGAGTAATGAGTTTGTCATGAGTTAATATTTTTTGTTTTACAGCTTTAACTTTTAATATAGTAAATACCAATAGATATAACCTATATTTTGAAAAGCTCTTTGGGGAGTCCTCAATAAATTTTAAGAGTATGAAGGGGACATGAGACCAAAATGTTTGAGAACCTCTGACCTAAAGGATAAATCCTAAATTCCTTAGGTTAGTGTTAGAGTCATTAATAGTCTGGTCCCGGACTACCTTTCCAGCCTCATCTCTTATCCCTTCTCCCTTTCATATCCCTCCTCCCTCACTCACACACATACACCACACAATTCTACCCAATAGACAAACACAGTGTGTTCCAGCCATCATAACACATACTCTGTCCACCACAAAATATTTAGCTCTGATTATACATGTGCTTGTTTTCTTTTTGTCTAGCTTCTCAGGCATGGGAATTCTATTTCATCATCCATTCCTTTGTTTCCAGTCTAATCGGGAGCTTGATTCATAATGGGAGTCATACATGTTTGATTTAATTAACATATTTCGTCAAATCTAAGATGCTAGTAGTTTTAAGAGCCACTGTTATTTTATGAACCACTAAAAAAGACAAAACGTTTCTTAAACAATCACACACTATCAATTACATCTTACAATATGGAAACACAAGTATAGATAAAATACAGAATTATTTGGATTGTGGCTAACTGGGAAATGTACTTTCTGAGCCTCTGCCACTAAATTCTCCTTTAGTATCAGGTCTCAGCAAACCCATCTGTAGTTCTAGCTCCCACCCTAGGTGGGCCTCATGGAACAAAAGAATTTCCCTTCAGAAACTAGAGAGAGATTCAAGGAGCTGGGTCATCTCTAGCTGAAGCTGGCTCATGTATTTTGTCTTCATGGCTTGTTTCTCATGATAAATGAGAGGAAATTTTTCCTGTAGTTGAGGAAGGAAAGTTGATATGAATTATAAATGACATAGTATTTAGGTCCAAACAAATTTTGACTCCAAAAATACGTGACCTTTTAGATGTTACAGACAATCATACAGATATTGCCATTCTGTATACATAAGAGTCAGAGTCATTTCCCTAGTGTGAGGAGATGAACGGAACTTCACCATTCTTTATGGGGTCTTCCTTTCCTCCTCCACCTTTCCCAGTGAAGTTGTCTTCCCTTGTGTTTTACACTGCTTGGTCACAGCCTTCATGGACAGTGATTAAGACTGCGTGAGTTCAAGTCCTGGCATACCACAAATTATTTTCCAAATTATTTTCATCCTTTTCCATCCAAAACATACCACTGCTAAATAGGTGCTGGGTTTTGTGTCCCCCACCCCTTACAAATTCATCATTCCTGAGCTATCAAAGACTCATTGCTCTTGAGGAAATAAACAGCATTTAGTGGCGTAGACCAGTTCATCAGCCTGCAGTTCCCTTGTGCTACTAGCAGTGGCTGCAGTAGCAGTAATGACACTTCTGGTCATCAGTTGGCCTTATGGATATTGGAGGGCATCCACTTCATTGACACTAAAATTCAGTATTTTAGACTAGATTAACTTGATTGGCTTTGATTAGTGTTTCCCAAATCTGGCTGTACACTAGAATCACCTCGGGAACTTTTTTTAATAAATCCACTTTCCCAGACCCCGTCCCAGAGCAATTAAATCAGAATCTTTGGGCATGGGGCTGGGGCATCCAGTGATTCTGATGCGCAACCAGGGCTGGGGTCACTAGCTTTGATCTCTGGTTCTTAAACTTTAGTGCACAACAGAATCACCTTAAGGGCTTATTTAAACACTGATCACTGGGCCACCCCCAGAGTTTCTCATTCAGTAGATCTGGGGCTGGGCCAAGAATTACATGTCTAAGTCTCTAGTAGTGCTGAAGCTTTGGTCCAGAGACCTTGAGAATCGCTATTGTAGACTTATGAAGGGCTATCCAGGAGCAGGAGACGCTTTTAGCTTCCCTACCTCACTTGGGCTACATGATGGAGAAGTGAGTTCTGGAATAAAACCAGGATCAGTTAGGAAGGAGAATGGAGAGAAGGTGACAGAGAAGGAGCTAGCAGAATTCCTCTCAAGTGTTGTGGGATTAGGAACTGTTAGAACTTGAAGTTTCATGTTATTCTTCAGGATGTACTGGAAGTTAGTTTTTACTCTGTTTTAAGAATGAGAAGGGCACAAGGAATGGGCTGGCTAGGGTTATAAAGCAAAAGGAAAACACCTTTTGAGTAACTCTTGGTCTTGACTGCTTATTGCAGCTGTCTCATTTTAGAACTTGATTTTATAAGACTTTTTTTCTTATGCTGTGTAATTCTTTTGCAAATCAAAAATTAGAGGCTGTTTTTGGGGGGCTTGATTATGAAGAGATTTGCAAAAGTTCTCTAGGGAGAATAGATCTCTTTACTTCTGAGGGGTAAGTCATTCACATAGAAAATTTGAGGAAGTGACTCTTTCCAAGATGATATTAACCCAGAAAGTTTAGGCATACCAGGTCCTTGAAAGTGTCATGTTGATTTAATGTCTTATGTTTTAGGTAGTGATTTTAAATTTGCATAAGTCAACAATTCTCTTCTGCAGATAAAACAAAAGTTTAATAAGACATTCTCATTGTAAACAATGCCAATGGGGACTAAGAAAAAATATTTTAAAGAAATTCAATTTTATGAATTTAAGTACATTCCATTACACTGTTGGCAGAAGAATGTAGGTGAGGGAAGTAGTGCTCATACTTAGGAGAGCTGTTGATTTATGTAAATTCAAATGTTAACCCTTAATGAGTAAACCCAATTTTCTATAGGAAAGTATTTTTGCTAAAATATATGGTGGGAGAAAGCATAGAATTTCAAGCTCTCATGTTGTCTCTTACTAGCTATATGACTGCACAGAGTGCTTCAGCTCCCAGAGCTCCCTCATTGTCCTCAACTACAATGCACAGGTGACCAGTATATTGTCTACCTTAGGGATTGTTGTGAGAGTTAAATGGGTAGGGTATAAAAACATTTCATGTGTTGAAAATCCCTTTCAAACATGGGTTTGCTGTATTACTATCATTAAATAACATTACTTTTGTTGTAATATTGTAAGCAAATCTTATTTTTGTTTGGCAAATCTTATTTAAAAAAAAAAGAAAAAGAAATGTGAAAGGTAGTCTAGATGTCCTCACCCAGATTTGAATTCAGTAGAATGCTCATTAATACACATAAACCTCATGAATTGGGGCTATTTTTAACCAACAGAGAACTGTCGTCTTTGTTAAAATCTGGTATAATTCTGGGAGATTTTTCTGAAGAAGGAAAATTCAAACAGAATATTTTAAATGAAAAAAGAGTTTTTTCCAGCAGTTTCATATTGTCTTTGTAATAAATATCTGAAACATTTTTGAAACACTTAATCATTGCCTTTATATATGTGATGGACACTGGAGATTCTTCAAGCTAGAACCCCAAAAGCCCCCCAAACCTAAGATACATTGCCTTTGCAGCATCTTCTTTCTTTTCTCCCTCTCCTGTTCATCCATTTCCGTTCCCTTCCTTTGGGTCATTTGCATCACCAAGCTTTCTCATCTCTTTGCTCCTCCCCTCAGAAGTTTTCTAGCCTTTCTGCTCAAGGGAATCAATTATCTGCTGCAAGCATCCTAGCAGCTCCTTGAAGATAAATCATTTGCCTTTGTTCCGACTGTACCAGGATATCACTCAGCTATGAGCTGTGGGCAGCCGCATTGCTCATGTCCTCCAGAGCATCTTCATCAGTTTCCCTGTCTGTAAAATGAGTGTTTGTATTAGTTTCCTGTGGCTTTTTTTTTTTTTTTTTTTTTTTGAGACAGAATTTCGCTCTTTTTGTCCAGGCTGGAGTACAATGGCATGATCTTGGTGCACTGCAACCTCTGTCTCCCAGGTTCAAGTGATTCTCCTGGTCAGCCTCCCAAGTAGCTGGGATTACAGGTGCACGCCACCACGCCCAGCTAATTTTGCATTTTTAGTAGAGACAGAGTTTTACCATGTTGGCCAAGCTGGTCTCAAACTCCTGACCTTCGGTAATCCACCTGCCACAGCCTCCCAAAGTGCTGGGATTATAGGCATGAGCCACCACCCCCGGCCTCCTGTGGCTTCTACAACAAATTACCACAAACTTTGTGGCTTAAAATAGTAGAATTTTTTTTCACAGTTTTGGAGGCCAAAAGTCCAAAATCAGGGTGTTGAGGGGAGGCCACACTCTCTCTGAAGGCTCTAAGGCTCCAATCTCTGCCTCCGTTTTACATGGCCTTCTCCTCTTTTCCATGTATCTCTCCTCTGTCATTGGATTTAAGGCACACTTGGATAATCTATCATAAGCTCATCCCAAGATGCTTAATTATATCTGCAAAGACCATTTTTCCCAGTAAGATCATATTCAGAGGTTTCAGGGTTAAGATGTGGATATGTCCTTTGGGAGACCACCATTCAATCAACTACACTGTGATACTGCTATTCTGCATAGAGTTATTAATATATGACACACTTAGCATAGTGCCGAGTTCAGAAAAGGTGCTCAGTAAGTGGAGGGTACAGGCCAAGAAGTAAGTAGAAGGTGAAGAGATGGAACCATGAGTTTATACAGTTTTTTGGAGAAGTTTAACCATAAAGTGAGAGCAAGAGAAGGCTACAACTGGCAGGGATAGAGAGCTGAGTGTTTTAAAAACCAATGTGTTGAGCTGGTCTAAAAGCTCCCGGGAAGGGTGTGTGGGGACTGAGTGCTATAGGCATGTGAGCTTCAGATGAGGTGAGATGCACACTGATGGGCAGGAACTGCTCTACACGTGATTCTCATGCTCACATGTAGCACTGGTGCTCAGGGTCTCTCCTGCCCTTGTCAACCAGTGCTAGTGCTAGATGCATGATTGTTCCGTGTTTGATGAGAAGAGGCAAGAATGAGAATCCCCTGTCCTGTGATCAGTGAGTCAGATTAACACTGAGTGTAAGTGCTTTGAGAGAACAGTGTAAGATGTTCTCTCAAAGTCACACAACTATTTTTCCACAGAACAGAGCCCAGGCTCTGTGCTGGCAGCTTGAGGTCAGCTAAGTATACAGCAGCTCAGGAGAGAGCCCCAGAACCCTCTGAGATGAAAAGAAATGCAGCAGTTTGCTTTGAAATTCCTTGGTTAGATGAAGAAATTGCAATGTGCCCACTTTGCCCAAAAGGCAGAGAAACAAGGGTCCAAGAATCACCCAGGGAAGCAATATTGTGCCAGGGAAGCAATATCATGCCTGGGCATCCCTGGAAGCAGTGGAAGATGAATGAGATGGAAGGGCTGGAAGCTCTAGAGTGGGCCGCTTGAGAAGGGATGGTAATTGTTCAGATTCCAGTTGCTGGCCCGGAGGTCACTATGAGGTAGGGACAGCCCCTGAGCCTGAGGAGTGCTGTTTAAAAGCAAGTGAGAGTGGCTGGGCAGCTTGCTTGTATAAACACATGGGGTCACATCTAACCAGTTCTCACTGTGACACAGGAGAATCCCTGAAGGAGGAAAAGGAGGCTTAGACAAATATAGTTAACGTTCTTTAATTGATGTTATTGTTATTTTGACCTGCAGTTAAGTGTAAAATAATTGAGCTAAAAAATAAAATATAATTCTTATTTAAATAACCTAGCTATACAAATTTCATAAGGAAAAATGTTCATATTTCACACTAAAATTGGTCTGATTGGGGAAATATTCATGTCTTTTTTTCTGGGGCGGGGGGTGGGGGGGACGGAGTCTCGTTCTGTCACCCAGGCTGGAGTAGAGTGGCGCGATCTCGGCTCACTGCAAGCTCCGCCTCCTGGGTTCACGCCATTCTCCTGCCTCAGCCTCTCGAGTAGCTGGGACTACAGGCGCCTGCCACCACGCCCGGCTAATTTTTTGTACTTTTTTTAGTAGAGACGGGGTTTCACTGTGTTAGCCAGGATGGTCTCGATCTCCTGACCTCGTGATCCACCCGCCTTGGCCTCCCAAAAGTGCTGGGATTACAGGCATGAGCCACCGCGCCCGGCCTCATGTCTTTTTTAATGAGTGTCGTAGGTTGGGCGGTCCCTAGAAGCAGACCTAGAACCCTGAGACCAAGAGTCCTGTGGAGTGACTTATTAGGAAGGTTTCCCAGGAATAACTGATAGGGGAAAAGGGTAGTGGGCCTGGAAAGGGAAGAAAGGATGAGTATCAAGCAAAACTCCACAGAGATTGACTTTGTTGCAGTCTGTCTTGAGAGTTCTGGTGAGATTATAGGTCACACCTTGGACTTGTCTTCATCGGGTGACAGAGTATTATAATCTCGGATCTCTCAGTCATTGGTTAAGGGCACTGAAGATGTGCCAAGCTCTGTTTAAACATTTTAAATTAGTGACCTACATGTTAACATGTTTGATTGGTTTAATATATACAAAGCATTTTAAAAAGTGCTATAAATGTTGGGCTGATGTTATTCTTACCATCATCATCATGTGCTCCCCTACTCCTCCCATCTCTCTGAATATAAAGTAAAACCTCATCTCGCTTCCATTGCTAGGACCTTGTTCCTGGTTCTCATGTATCATGTTACAAATACAACTTACTGCATCTTCCTCCTCTCCTCTATGAACCCGTCCTAAGTCTCATTCTCTGAAAACCAGTATGGAGGTTCCATGTAAGGGCTGGAGATGGCTGGTGAAGGGCTGATTGTTAAACATTTGTCATATGCCCCTGGGTTAGAGATGTAATTGAAGTTCGCCCTGGATGTAGTCCCATGGGCCTCTCTTTTGCATTATTAAATCATAATGATAAATGAGTATGACCAGGTATTTTATTCTTTCCCTGGAGATGTGGCTTTTATAGATGTGGTCTCCTTGATAATGTTTTGCCACAGAAGAAACTTTTGGCAGAATCATTGCCAGCCTGACAATCCTCCAAATTTCCCGAAGTTCAAGGAATACTTCGAAAACGTAAAGTTCTGAAAACTAGAAAATATTGACTTTCATAGGAATTGTAGTCTAATTATAAAGAAGGGCAGTCTCTGTGCAGGACATCTGATTGTATTTGTGAGGAAGGTGGTCCAGATTTTGGAGGAAAACATTCTTGTGTGTACAACAGGGAATTTAGAAGTTTACCCTTTGATGTTATATGAGAGTGGGTTGGCTAGATGTCATGTAATTTTCATTTTTTTAAAGAAGAGGGAGAGGAAGAGAAAGGTAAGCATCAGATAAGCAGTTGCTAAATCTTTAAAGGGTCAGAGTGTTTCTGTTTGTTTCCTCTTTCTTTAATTTTCTAGGACAGGACTTTTATTCCCTAGAATATACAGAAGAGTCACAAAAGTCTATGCCGTCAGACCTGAAAGGAAGATCCTTTAGTAATTGCCACTGTGTTTAGTGCATGAGGAAATGGAGGCCATCCTGAGTGGAGAAGTGACTTACCCAGGATCCAAGCCTAGTTGATGTGAGAGAAGAGGCTTAAGCATGAGTCCAGATTCTCAGTGCAGTGTGCATGCTAGGATGTCCTCTCCTACATCCCTCTGCACAGCAGTACTCCAGTCACACTGATGTTCTTTTCCTTCTTCAAGCACTTCAACTTATTCCTTGCGAAGTTCTTTGACCAGTTGTTTGTCCCAGCCTGGCATGGGTGGCTCCCTGCTGTTCAGATTACAGCCCCAGGACCTCCCCACAGCAGTTCCCCTCACCACTCAGCATAAACACATCACCCAGTCTCTCTCCATTACTTTTCCCTAGTTTAAGTTCTGCACAGCACTTGAAATTATACAATTTTTTTTGTTGTTCTTTGTTTATTGCCTACAGTCAGTTAAGAGCCCACATGGTGTATTCTTAGCCTAGAACAATGCCTGGCACATGGGAGACCAAAGAAACATGGCATTAAAGTGGAATGAACTGGACAGAGGAACAATGAGCAGGTTTCTCAAGTGGTCCATATTGTTGGATGAGACTTCATTAGAGAGAATGAGAATTATGGTCTAGGTTGGCCCAGTCTAATGGACATAGAACACAAGGCACATATGTAATTTCAAATTTTCTAGTAGCCACAGTAGAAAAAGTGAAAAGAAATAGGCAAAAGCAATTTAAATAATATTTGTATTTAAACCAATGTATTCAAAACATTATTTCAACATATAATCAATAAAAAAATCTAGTGAAATATTTGCTTTCTTTTTTTTTTTCAGACCAGGTCTTTTAAATCTCCTATATAATGTGCATTTATAGCACATCTTCAATTTAGACACTGAATTTTTTTCATAAATAGTTGGTTAGATTTCATAAAACTTACGATTGGAAAAGTAGACTTACATACTTAAAATGTTTCTAGTGACTGAATTAGCTATCACCTTTTAAATTTAGTTAAAAATAAGTTTTAATAATTCACTTCCTCAGTCACACTTGCAACATTTCAAGTTCTCAGTGCTACATGTGGTCAGTGACTGCACAGGTCCATATCAGTTGCACCAAACTATTAGTTTTGAAGTTCCTTAGCCCTTCCTGTCCCATATCAGCTCTGTGGAAATAGTCTGGCATGTGGGGCTCATTGAGTTAGAACACCCAGGCAGGCCTTATGCCAGGAATACATGACTGTGCCTTGAGTCCAGCAGTTTTTTGGCCATTGTGTTAAGAGATAGGAGTTGGTGAATCCTTTTAATACCTTGAAAGTTGAATTGTTTTATTCTGATTTGTCCTAAAAAAAAAAAAGCAAAGTTAGGGGATTCTCACAGCGTCCACAGAGCATATAGTCCAAAATGCAGTGCACAGGTGCAGACATCTCTGGAAGCACAGCTCAGGGCTTAAAAAACACAGAAACAATCACATAAAGCAGAGGACCTGACTCCACAACAACCCTGCCCAGGTGGCCACAGCTGAGTAAGCCACATCTCATGCACTCACTCCACTGAGGCACCGAGAGTTTATCTGTATAGGAAGGTTTGTTGTCTCAGATCCTCTGCAAGGCCCTGAACTGAGGAGCAGCATACTTCACAAGAGTGTTTTGAGGTCCTCACCCCTTACAGAGACCTCTGCATGCCATCTCATCTTAGATATTATGTTAGCAGATTCTACCAGCAACTCCAAAGGAAATTGTTTCATGGTGTGTGCATCCCTTGGGAGAAGAACAAGGGTTGTTATATTCTGAAACATCAGATGTCACAGGCTTCTGTCATGGCTCTAACTTAATTACCAAGTGACAGTTCCTCTCTGCTATGGACATTAGCAGACCAACTCTAATTAAGATGTCCAGGGCTCAGATGCCCAGATAGCCAGGGTGCCTAACAAGTAAACAGAAGCTGAAGTTTCTCCTGGGGAAAACTGTCTCAAATAAAACCTTCAATCACAATAATTTGCAGGTAGTGCTATTTTCCAAATGAACAAACTGTCAAGAATGGGATCCTTAGAAGACAGCCCTCCTTTAAATCCCTCTCTGCTTAGTTCATCGTTATTTTTTACTTTATAACATGGTTGAAGAAAAGTTTATATCAAGAATAATAGAAGTGTCAGCCTGCCTTTTGCTTGTTGTTCACTTGTGCTTCCATTATTAGCATTGCCTTCAATCCAGTGTTTATTTCAGATGTCTTTTTAAGCTACCTGCCCATGTTTTAGGAGCTAACATTTCAAAGTAGATAACAGAATAGGCAAATCCCCTCACTTGGATACAAGTAAACTGCAAGGCTTCCTAGTGTCCTGAGTGTTAAGGAAATAGGGTAGGCCCCACTTCTGAGCCTTCCCAGATGGGGAGCTTCCCCTCTTTCATTAAGATGCCACCTGTCTCAGAGGCCAACCAGAAAATTTTGAAATCACCAAAAGGACTATTTTCAATCCATATTTATATTCACTGTTATTCATAATAATCCTAAAAAAAAAATAAAAAATAAATAAATCCCTCTCTGCAACCCCTGGGTGGCACCAGATCATTTGGTACCCTTCTGTTTTCATGATCTTTCAACACACTTTTATAAAGAATCTACTATGTGCTAGGTATTATGCTAAGCACTGGGAATGAAAAGACATGAACCCTGCCCTCCAAGAGTTCCCAGGCCAGTGGAGAAAAAAGGCTTCACATAGAAAACTGTGGTACAAATGCAGTCTCCTTTATCAGATAGCACACCTGCTGGGGTTATGGCTGTGTGAAAAACTCTAGGGATGCAGAGAGATATAAAGCATAATTTCTTCTCTCCAAAAGCTTATAGTATAATCAAGGAGAAAGGGCAGAATATGAAAAAATAGTGTGTTATAGGATACAGTAGGAAGCTATAAGTCAAGCCATGTTCTTAAATCCAACTTAACTAGTAATAAAAATAATGTTTGATCCACCTCTGACTCCTCTATGTATGTTTGAATTAGTTCTGAACTTGGAGAGAGGCAACAATTAGTCCTCTTAACCAATATAACAACCAAAGGAGACTGACGATAACAAGCCTTTTGTACTTTATGGTGTTTTCCCATCTAATATGCTGTTGACTCATCCTGACAAGCCTGTTGATAGGCATCATTTTAATACCATGTTACTATAAAGAAAATACAATGCCCTAAAAGCCAAGTGTTATGCCTAAAATCCTAGAACTAGGAACATGGACTGAGATTGTCTTACTCCAAGTCCAGTATATTTTCCAGAATCCCAGAGCTTCGGTAGGCACCGCCTTTGTATTTGGAAAACTGTGACCCACTGAAGACAGTTGTGCCATCTGATTGTGTGTCTCTTGATGGAGTTTATAACTTCAGCCAGTGAACTGCTCCAGCCTTTCCCTTGCAGTATGCTTTATCTTGTTTTAGCAGCTTTAGTAGTTGGTCTTTTTGTTTCTCCCCTGGGTCTGTTTAAAAAAATAAAACAAACAGTAGCAGGATAGAGGTACTGGCTCTCAAATCAGATATTGGCTGGGTAATATTTAGGAAAGGAAATGTTGCAACCCATTATGGCAGTGGGTTATTCCTTTTATAAGCTGAGGAATCTGTAGCTCATTTAGCCTCATTATTTTTTGGTTAGCAGGCTCTGGTTGTGCCATCCTTATGGCTGTATTTTTAGAAGTCTTGGATTATTATAGCAACTGTGAAAAAGGATGGGGAAAGAAATCTGGCTTCTAATATACATCCACTTAATTGTTTCTTGAATTAAATTAGCCTTCATCTAGCCCTCAGAGAATGCACTCACTCCTGCTGCTGATTAAAAGCTGCTACCTTTGCGTGGTCACTGAGGGGGTTATCAGATGATGAAAGAGGTATTTCAGGGTGCTGGTGGGCCTCCTCCTCATCCAGTTTATTCCAGGTACCAGCTGGGCCTGGGAGGGTAGAGGTAGGAAAGGCCAGAAAGGAAGCATGTATAATCATGACATCTCCTTCACAGTGCCAAAAGAAATATTCACAATTTGCGTCAAGTCTGATACTCTAGTTGTGGAACTTAAGCCTCTTCATTGAAGCTGATGTGATAGGAGGAAGAGACAGTAATGGGACAGCCCCACTGTGTTTCAGAGGGTGAAAAGAAACTGAGGAAATAAATAAAGACGGAAAACTATTAGGCTGCATCAGTGCAGTAAAGGGCAGAGAATGTTAGCCCTTAAACTATTTCTGTCACACTGTGGTTAATTATAGAAAAGCTTTGAAGGGGTTGAGGGGAAAAACGAGAGTAGGGAACACTCTGAGCATGACAGATGTAAACCGATGTTTTACTGCTCCTCCTTCCCTCCACCTTCCAGTAGTCTCCAGTGTCTATTGTTGCCATCTTTATGTCCATGAGTACCCAATGCTTAGCTCCCACTTATAAGTGAGAACATGTGCCATTAGGTTTTCTGTTTCTGCATTAATTCACTTAGTATAATAGCCTGTAGCTCCATCCATGTTGCTGCAGAGGACATGGTTTTATTCTTTTTTATGGCTGTATAGTATTCCATGGTGTACATGTACCACGTTTTCCTTATCCAGTCCACTGTTGATAGGTACCTCAGTTGATTCCACGTCTTTGTTATGGTGAATAGTGCTGAGATGAACATATAAAGTACCATAATTTTAAATTAACTTCTGTGGTGAATAAATTTTCACTACATTAAGGAACAAAGAGCTTTTAAATTATTTGAGTAATATGGTAATTTAAGTGACTATCATGCATATAATAGAAACATTTTTAATAAGAAAAGGAAATTTCAGTTTATGAAAATCATTATATGTTTTTAATTTTTTTAAGAGAAAGGGTCTCACTATGTTGCCCAGGCTGGCCTAGAACTTCTAGGCTCAAGCAGTCCTCACAACTTGGCCTCCAGAGTAGTTATGTGTACTTTTTAAACTTCAAACAATTAAGCTCTTGAGGTGTCAGTAGAGTAACATCAAATGATCTAGAAATATAGGACTCTGGCTTAGTTCTAGATAGGACTATGCTAGGAAATAGACTTCTCATGCATTATACAGTTGGCCCTTGAACAATGTGGGTCCACTTCTATGTGAATTTTCTCCCATCTCTGCCACCCCTAAGACAACAAGACCAACCCCTCCTCTTCCGCTCTACCTCAGCCTACGTGAAGCCAGTGTGAAGACAACAAGGATGAAGACCTATATGATCATCTACTTCCACTTAATGAATAGTAAATATGTTCCTTCTTTCTTATGATTTTGTTAATAACATTTTCCTTTCTCTAGCTTACTTTATTGTAAGAATACAGTATATATAACATACAAAATATGTGCTAATCAACTGTTTTGTTATCAGTAAGGTTTCTGGTCAACAGTAGGCTATTAGTAGTTAAGTTTTGGGTGAGTCAAAAGTTATATGTGGATTTTCAACTGTGCAGGGGGTTTGCACCCCTAATTCCTGCATTGTTCAAGGGTCAACTCTATTCTTGATGTTAGCATGTCCACTTGTACAGTTAGCAGCAATAGCCTCAGTAATTTTTCAATAGGATTTTGTGCTATATTTGCAAATCATGAAATGTTAAACAATTGTGTTTTTCAGGCTACCATATGATTTGGGGGGATTTCTGTTCTGATATGGAAATAATACTGAGTAGCAAATATAATAATTTACAACATAACTATTATCTCTAACCATAGGGGTGATGGTGTATTTTTTTAATGTATCCATCCTTTCAACTCTAAATTTACTTTGCCTCTCATTTTTCTTTCTCTTTCTCTCCCATCTCTTAAAGCAGAATTCTTTGGTATTGAGCCACTTGTGTTAAAATTGTATAGCATGTTATCAAGACAAGAATCTCTTGAATTTTGTTTGCTTGCTTGTTTGTTTCACTTCATTTGAGGTTT